>NC_000006.12:6272121-6423636 GCF_000001405.40 Homo sapiens
ACCAGAGAGCCCACTGCACGCAAAGCCCTGCATTGGTAGTGCCCACTAGAAGAATTCATTGCCTTTTAAAAAATTAATCTTTTGGGTTAGTTGATGGCTTTGAAATATTTTTACATTAAAAATACAATGTCCTAGGTGGTGATTAGGTTCCCAGGTAGTCTAGAAAGGACATCAAATAGCACATGGTATGGTCAGTATGGTTGAATATTGTTCCTAATAGAACTGTTCTGACTCCACCTCTCTCATGCCTAGGACCTGGAAGAACATACTTGCCATCAAGGAGGGTTGGTATCAGTGACTGAGTAGACACATCTATCAATCACTGCTCCCTCTCGTGCTCCAAAATAAAGAAGCTGATAACTCAGGACACTCCCACTTCTCTCCTCTTTTGGGCATGTCATCTGTAAGTCCAGTGGCTGCAGTCTGTGCCCCTCATATGCTATACTTAGTAATAAGAAGACTTCTGGCCATATCGTTAGGGAAACGAACGTAGGAGAGCCAGGGTCACAACCTTTTTAAATCAACTGCATCTGAAAACTAGCAAGGCACTTTCCTTGCCAGTCAAAACCCATGGTCCTAAGATGTTGACAGCTAAGGAAACAACTTAGTAATGCCTGCAAGGACAAACTCCTACAACAACAGAAAGTCCAGATGTCCCAATACCCATAATGATATATACTTTCAAGAGAATTACAGTTATGCTTTGATATACTCACACACTAAAATGTCAAGGATAGTTTTCTTTAAATCAATAGAATAATAAATTTTGTCATGCTGTCATCCTACCCACACAAAAGCACAGCTTTGTTTAGTCTTTACATAGACAAGACTCCTATGTAAGAAAAGCTTAAAACAATGACAGCGCATTCCTCCACTTGCTTTCTGAGGATACCCTACTTTGTAATGGAGCAGCTTTTAATAAACTATCTCTTCTCACTGCTCTCTGTGACTCACCCTGAATTCCTTCCTGCATGAGATCCAAGAACACTCTCTTGGGGTCTGCATCGAGACCCCTTTTCCTATAACAATTATTTGCCAGAAAAGCCCAAACAAACATTTTTCTCCTTATTCACTTAGATATCTATTCCGCTTGTTAAACTGAACTGAAGACATTGTCTAATATGTCTGTATAGCTCCCATAGAATGTCACAGTGTTTTGTACCCAGTCGGTACCTAATAAATGTCAGTGAGGCTGAACTGAGCTCTCTGCAAATGGCAAGCCCCACTAAGATCATCATAGAGATGTTAGAAGCTCTGGAATGAGATGCCCACAGCAATCTGGGTGTTCAATCCAAGCACCCCTCACAAGAAAGAAACTTTTTTATTTCTAAGCTTCTTCCTCAGAGGGTGTTTTCCATTCTTATATAAACACATTTTAAGCTGAGCCCTGACTCCATCTACCTGCAGACTTCCCTTAAGAGTTCATTCTTATAAGAGGACTGTCTCTAAGGAACACAGGAATCTATCATGTCTTCAGCTGAGAAGGTAAATTTCATGATGTTAATTCATTTTTCCATTTGATTCATTTGTTTTTCCCAAGGCGCACCTTTCATGTTCAAAATAATCAATCTATTTCCAAATGGGCCCTTGAAGTATGAAGGTAACAGCATGATGTATGTGGCAGCGCTGGAAGTGTGAATACAGTTGCTTTGGAAAAGGAAGCAAAACTTGTGCTAACAGTCTTAGGATGGAAAGGGAGTGTGCTGAGACCAAGTGGGAATAAGTCACCAAATAACTCTTAGAAATACCAGGTTACCAGCTACAAAAACAAAATGCCACCACCAAAAAAGAAACAATCAAAAAGGCACAGAAATCATGGATGATAGCAACTAAGAGGAGAGAAACACAAGTATTCAAAAGCAAATCATCTCTTTGAGGACTGTAGAAATCCGCCCTTTCCATTGCTAAGTTGCCATTGGCAGATTACATACATATTTCCAGATGTTTCCTAAAGAAAAGAGACCTTCCTGGCCATGTTTATTCTAGCTCAGGCAAACTTAGGTAGGGTTGGGGGGAAACTTTGTGAAGACAGAGATGGAGTTTTGTTTAACTTTGTATACCCAGCAGCTTGCATGATGTTTGGAACGTAGTAGGTGCTCAATAAATATTTGGCAAATGGAAGCTAGGTACTTGTTAAGGTGTCTTTTCTACCTTGATTTTATTTTACTTTTCTTTCAGTGCTTCCTACATCACTTAAAGCCTCTTTTGGAGTAAATGTAAGGCGTAATTTTGTGGGATATACATGAAACCAGCATCGTGCTAGGTTTTTTGAGTGAATCAGAAAGAAATCATAAGGCTGTCACCTGATGCTGACTACCTGGTCCCTGGCTTTAAGAAGTGCACCACTTAGATGGCTAACCAAGGCAGGAATGTGAACATGAGGACACCCTGTCTCAGGATGATGCCAGTGGCATTCACAGGAAGTAAGAACATAACATGAACTTCAGAGAAAATACGAACAGCATTGAGATAGGAGAATTTCTCCCTAAGAATGGCTTATTTCTGAGAAAGAGGACTGTGAAGCCCCTTCAGTGAAATGTGCATGCATTTTAAACATTCCTACAGCATGCCAGCCTCTTCCTGGGACTACTGGTCACGAGGAACACAGTGTGGAAACCCAGAGGAGGAAGTGGCTAACAGTGTCTGTGGAAGTTGAAGAAGATTCCTCAGAGAATGTGGTTTTGGGATACAATCTTAAAGGTGGAAAAGGTAGAGAAAAGTCTTCCCAGCTGGGGGAGTAACCAACTGAGGGAATAAGGAAAGGATGGTGCATAAAGGGAATGGCAGGAAACTCAGGATACCTGTGGCAGAAGAAGCATTTGACCCAGGGAGGGTAAAAAGCAAAGGGACCTCCAACGCTGTGCAAAGGTATGTAGAGTGTGTCCTAGGGAGGGGATGGAGATGGGGCAGGAGCCATTGAAAAGCTTAAGTGATCTGGTGAGATTACATTTTAGAAAGATCAGTCTGTCTGCAAGATGGAAAATGGTTTGAGAGGGACAAGAGTGGAGCAAGGAAACCAGTCAGAGGGTGCTGAAGTGCTCAAGGGAGGCATGATGGTGTCTTTGACTGACTCTCGGGGGAAGGTAAGTGGAGGGGTGCCAGCGGAAGCAGGAAGTAGACGCAACAGGTATTTGATGTTGGCATTAAGTAGGGGGGCAGAGCCATAGGCGACCCCAGGTTTTGTTCATTCTTGAAAGAGTTTTTCAGTGCCTACAAGGTGCCAGGCACCATTTTTTTTATTTTTTTTGTTTGTTTTGTTTTGTTTGGAGACGGAGTCTTGCTCTGTTGCCCAGGCTGGAGTGCAGGGGTGCCATCTCAGCTCATTGTAACCTCCACCTTCCAGGTTCAAGCGATTCTCCTGCCTCAGCCTCCCAAGTAGCTGGGACTACTGGTGTGGGCCACCACACCCACTAATTTTTGTACTTTTAGTAGATAGGGAATTTTGCCATGTTAGCCAGGCTGGTCTTGAACTCCTGACCTCAAGAGATCCACCCGCCTTGGCCTCCCAATGTGCTGGGATTACAGGCGTGAGCCACTGTGCCTGGCCCTAGGCACTGTTTTAAGTGAGATACAGCCATGAACCAAACAGTCATTCCCTCTAACCCAAAGATTCCAGACTAAGCTTCAAGCATGGGAGAACATGCTGCTTTATGAGGAGTTTGCTCCAAAAGTTAGGACCTGGTGTTGTTAACTGCGATACAAATTTACTCCAGGAAGCTAGTTTTCTAGAAATTCCCTAACCCACATGTGTGTTGCCTCATTTAAGAGAAGACAGGATATTTTTAGTCTTTAAGAAAAAATAACCAGCAGAAAATGTTCTACAATGTAGACAAAGTTGGTTACAGAGCATAACATTACACTGCAGATTTGTTCACGTTGCCCATTCAATTCCGAAGGACCAGGAGGAACAGGAGTCAAAGAATCTGGACTTGTGTTTCCTGTTGTCCATTCGGGAATAACAACCACTTATAGTTTGTCTCAGCAACTCCACCTATTGACAGACTGGCTGTTCTCAGACCTATTGCCTGCACCCCTAGAATCTTCTGTCAGGTTCCACAGGAAGCCATGTTCCCACGCTCCTCTGCTCTCTGACTTCGAGGTAGGTTCGGCCAAAGAGAGGATTGGAAGCAGGAGGAGGGGAGATGTCAGGGTGTGTCTCCTGTGCTCTCTCTGTCTTGAGGTGAGAGTCTGAGTCTCCTCCATGGCTCCAGCACCTGCTGATGCCTTCTGGGTTCTGATGGGACCTCCTCCTCCATGTGCCTCCAGCTCCTGGTGTGGTGGCAGTTTTCTACTGTTCCTAATTCCTGGGTTGCCTCACCATGTCGTTTGTTTGGCTTCTTAGTCATTCACTCGCTTGTGTACCCAATTGCCTCCAGTAAGCTCCCACTGCTTACAAATCTAGAGCAGTTTCTATTTGCTCTATCACCTTTAAGGGTTATGTCCATTTTATATATGGGAAAACTGAGGCTCAGGTAACTTAAGTAACTAGCTCTAGGCTACATAGCTATCAGGATGCAGAACAATCATTTGAACCCAGGTCGGCTTGGTCCAGAGCTGTGACTGGGGAGGCTAATGAACCCTCTCAGTGCATTTTCCATCTGTAAAATTGGCATTCCAGAAGATGAGGATTAAACAATAGTGTGTGTGAAGGGCATTTCATAAACTGAACAAATTATTATTCTCCGTATTATATGGTGTCTGATGGCTATAATAGCAAAGAAATCTTACTAAACTTATTTTATTTTTATTTCTGAGCATAACCACACAGGTAGTGAATAAGGTGTGAGAACTAAAAGTAAAATCTTATCCCCACCCCACTCCCAACCAACTGTACAGACTCTTTCTTGGCTAAGGGGACCCCAGAGAAACCTTAAAAACTGAGCCGCAGCCATGATGGGATGGGAGGTGGTACACACCTCACTATATTCCCTTTCCTTTTGCTGTTTAGACAAAATTGAACAGAATCAATGTTAAAATAGAGATCATAAGACTGACACTGTGCAGGAGATCGAGACCATCCCGGCTAAAACGGTGAAACCCCGTCTCTACTAAAAAATACAAAAAATTAGCCGGGCGTAGTGGCGGGCGCCTGTGGTCCCAGCTACTTGGGAGGCTGAGGCAGGAGAATGGCGTGAACCCGGGAGGCGGAGCTTGCAGTGAGCCGAGATCCCGCCACTGCACTCCAGCCTGGGCGACAGAGCGAGACTCCGTCTCAAAAAAAAAAAAAAAAAAAAAAAAAAAAAAAAAAAAGACTGACACTGTGGCAATAAAATATATAATTATAAACAAGACCCAAGGCCACACCAGGCAAGGATTAAGTCATGAACCCCTGCATTTAAAGAATAAACTATGTTCTAACTGCCACAAAGTTTTTCTTTTTGTCTAGCAGCTAAACAAGCCCTGGTCTCAAGATGAGCAATGTTGGAACAACTACAGTTCATCCATCACCAGATGCTGACTAACTAACTCACATTCCACCAGCCACAACTACAGTTTTGATTGCGTAAGAGACTGATTTCAGCATCTTTCTCCTGGTAAGAGACTATCAACCATGGACTGGTTCTGGACGATTTACCGAAGCTGCACACTACAATGCATTCCTGTCCCTGCTTCACCTTTTGATGTATAGGGCCTAACTGAAGCACATATAAATGTTAAGTCTCACCCCAAAGCGAACATGGGTCACACATAACATGCATGTTTATTCAGTATGCATACATTAAGACCCTCTTCATAAATGTTCATAGCTCCTCCTGTAACCTGTGGAATATGTATATTTGGCCAACCAGCTCAGCATAAATTCCTGTTCCATCTTCCTTTCCCTTGAAGTGCCCACCTTTCAGCCTCTGCCAGAGGCTGTGCTTCTCAGCCTGTCCGGATAGTCACTCTGCAGGCTGTAACCTTTTATAAGAAATAAAGACTCCTTTCCAAATGTATAGATTTGTGATTTTTCAATTAACAAGTAATTGTTGCTGTGGCACGATTCAGGATCTTTTTCGTCAACAGGTTATTTATTAAGCACCATTTAAGTGCCAGGCACTGTTCTAGGTACTGAGAATACAGCAGTGTCAACACATAAAGATTAATGGAGTGTATAGTCTAGTGGGAGTATACGGACAATAAACAAATAAATACATGATACGTCAAACGGAGACAAGTGCTATGAAAAAATGACTAGAGCAGCTTAAGAGGACAGAGAGGGTCAGAGCTGGGGGTGCTATTTTAGAGACAGTGGCCAGAGGAGACATTTGAGAAGAGACTTGAGAAAAGTGAGGGAATGAGCAGTGCAAATATCAGGGGACAGGTGTCATCAGTGCAAAGACCCTGTGGGAGGTGGTACTTGGCATGCTTGAGGAGGCCAATGTGCCTGAAGCAGAGAAACTGTGGGAGGTGAGGTATCTGAGCAGGGGAATTGGGGGAGGTATGATGCCTGGGGCAGAGGGAATTGTGGGAGATTAGGTGCCTGAGCAGAGGGAACTGTGGGAGATAAGATGCCTGGGACAGAGGGAATTGTGGGAGATGAGGTGCCTGAACAGAGGGAATTGGGGGAGATTAGACGCCTGGAGCAGAGGGAATTGTGGGAGGTGACAGTGCCTGAGCAGGGGAATTGTGGGAGACGAGAAAGTTCCTGGAGCAGGGGAAACCATGGAAGATGATGTCAGAGACAGCCAGATCAAGCAGGGCTTTGTAGGACTTTGGATCTTATTCTGATTGAGAAAAGCAGTCACTAGAAAAGAGGCATGGTCTGCTTTAAGTTCTTTTAAAAAATCACTTTGGTTGTTCTGTGAAGACTGCAGGAGAGCAATCAGGATTGCTATGAAGATCTCTTGACCTCTCAATATTCCCCCTTTGCTTGTTGGTAATGAAAATCCTACCAACAGAAGAGAAATTAGAGATGATGCTGAAATGTTTATATCCCTGGGAAAGGCAATGTGTTTGCTTAAATTTACTGCACTATGTACCTTTCCTAAAAGCTGGAACTGGGTGTTGGAAATAGGGAGGAAAGTGGAGGTTGGAAATAGGGAAACTTGCTCAGGGGACATGGTATAAAAAATGTGGCCACCAGAAGCACAAAGTTCATCTACATGACCATTGTTTCTAGGGCAGTTTCCAGCCCTTCCTTGGCATGAGTTTAAACAAGACTGTGTTATTCTATCAATCCATGAAGGCTAAACTCTTTAAGATCTAGAGATGTGAGACAGAGAAATAGGATGTTGGTGTCACAATGTCTAATTTATTGTAGTTTGCCAGATTTCACAGTTATAAACCAAACTGCATACCCAGCTTTTTGCCCCATCTGACCCCAACTGTTATGCAATTCTTTCAACTGACAAAGAATGTTTCCATATTTCTTGGGTTTCTGACCCCTCGTGCTGGGGTCTGGAAGCCCAAGGGGTGGAGAGGGACTTGGTGGGGAGGCACACTTTGCACTGAACATGAAGGTCACTGACCAGATGCACTGCATTTAGCATCTTCGAGACCCATCTCTTTCATGTTCTCAGTCAGCTCAGAACACATGCCGTAAAGAATCTCCTACAGCAACTGAATTTCCCCCAGCAAATGGCAAGTCTATGGAGCCAAAGCACCATTTGCTCATTTGCTTGTGTTCCATCCATTATATGAGCAGAATGAGCCTTCTAGGTTTTACAAGAAAGGCTCATTTCGTTAAAATCATGGCAACTGACTTAAAAAATAAAGTGTCATTAGCCAACAAAGGAAAAAGTTTAGCTGAATGTCTTCCAAACAAAACAGGCCAACTGATGACATTTTTGCTAAAACAGTCAATTCCTGTTAATAATTGAATGGCAACAATAATGAGAATAAATCACTGGTAATTCTGATAAAGCATTTGTTTGTCTTTGGAGTATATATGAATGCAATATATAAAAGCAAGTGTTAAATGAGTTTGCATTGCCAGAGATTAAAGCAATTACTGGAGAAACAAAAATCAACATAGAAAACATTCTAAGGAGTATGGTACAGTCCATCTAGTATTAACCTACAAGTGGATATTTACAATACATACTCAATAAACATTTATTTAAACAGATGTTTACTAGTGCTTATGATGAGCAGAGTGATACCACTTAATCTGGAGGAGACAGGGTGGTGAATGTGCTGAGATATGATACATTTCCTGTGCTCAATGGGTTTATAATTAAATACGCAAGTTTAGACTGTAATTTAATTCATAATACTAATGCCACATGAGAATAACAGAGCAAGAGTAGTAGACCGTGGGGGAAGTCAACGACTTTATTAACTACATGACAACAAATATGGAACTCAAAGGACTGGCAGAAAGAATGACACACATTTGCATTTTGTTTATTCATATGTATATTTATGTGTGGATGTTTATTTGCTTACTATAGATGTTCATTGTTCCTTCATAAGTTGATTACCGCTTATATTTAAAAGCATCACTTTTAAAAAACTGTATTCAAGCCTAGTTTTTTGCAAGTGACATAGATAAACAATACAGGAGACCACGGATGTAGCTGAAACACAGGGATGTAAAGAAACCGTATTGAGGTTGGACCATCCTTGCCTAATGATGCCTTGTGGGGGAACACAATTGTTCTTGACATCTTTTTAAGGCCTTAGAATATATTCCAATCTTCTCTCATTTCCTCTGGTCATGTGTTCCCCACTGATTTGCCTTTAATAAAGGTCACTGCTGAGTACCTCTTTATTTGTGGGCTTGAAGGGGTACAATATTGCCTTCCGTAAATAACACCTAATTCCAGTGCTTTGGAAAGTGGCACAGTGGAATTTCTTCTAAAACATCTGCCACTACTTAAATTCCAGAGTGCTTTAAGCATGTACCCTGGAGTTTCATACTGTTTGCGGAGTGGCTGGAGAATCCTCACTTTGGGACTCAGCTGGGCCAGCCTTCCCTGGCAGCACCTAGTCATTGAACATCGCATGGCTCCCCATGAAAACGGTCATTTGGCAACTCGTTCTAAGGGAACTGGTCTCAGCTAACAGTTAATGGCAAGAGTCTAATAAATTCATTTTGCTAAAATGTTAATGTCTAAGAAGAGTGCTAATACTTCTTCTTACCTCCATATTTACACTTTGTAGAAAATAATTCCTTCATATCTTAAATGAATAAATTGCCATAATAGAATTTCACTCATTGCATAAAATTGGGAGAGGGCATGCTCTTTACTTCACATTCTGAAGACCTTGTCTTCTTCCTCAGGGGATTTTACAGTCTCAATGTAATTTCTTCTAAGACCTTTCCAGATCCCAGGCCCAGTGTCAGACCAGGTATACCAGGACCAGCCATCGGATCCTGATTATTCTGGACCATTTAGAGCCAGAATAATCAGGATCTGAATTCCACTGATTCCTCCCTAAGGGACGACACTAGGTAGGAGGAGCTCAGTTAAGATGTCATTACACCTTTTATATATCATTATACCTTATATCAAAATAATAAATGTTTGTTGTTTTAAGCCACTAAGATTATGATATTTTGTTACAACAGCAACATAAAACTAATGCAAACACAGAGCACACTGTTGGCACATTGTGAAGACTCAGTAAATGACAAGCTCAAAGATAAAAAATGTATGGAGGACGGCCGGGCTTGGTGGCTCACGCCTGTAATCCTAGCACCTTGGGAGGCCAAGGCAGGCAGATCACGAGGTCAGGAGATCGAGACCATCCTGGCGAACTTGGTGAAACCCCGCCTCTACTAAAAATACAATAAATTAGCCAGGCCTGGTGGCGGGCGCCTGTAGTCCCCAGCTACCCAGGAGGCTGAGGCAGGAAAATGGTATGAACCCGGGAGGCAGAGCTTTCAGTGAGCCGAGATCATGCCACTGCACTCCAGCCTGGGCGACAGAGTGAGACTCCGTCTCAAAAAAAAAAAAAAAAAAAAAAATGTATGGAGGACAAGAGTCATGAATCAGGGGTCACCATAGGTATGACAGAGAGGTGAAAAGAATGGTAAGTGAGATATACCTAGGTTGAATTGGGAAATACTGAAAGGAGGTAAAATACTAATGAGCACACCTAGGATCTAGACCTTGGTTTCTAAATACTACTTTCTATTAAAATGAAGTGGAGTTCTTTGGAGAAATGTTTCTCCTTAGATAAATGGTTATTTTGAGGGTAGGTGCAGGGAAAACTCAAAACGGGCCTGAAACATCTTACTGTAACAGACTATGAGGAAGTAAGGATACTGAAACTAGTTGGAACAGTCCAACTGGCAAAATCGAGGCTGTTTGAACATTAAGTTATTTAATGATAATAAAAGATTTAAGTAACCTATTTAATTAAAAGAGAAAATCAGGATTCATCCAGGTATTAATCAATCATTCTATCAATAATAATTTTGGTAATAAATGGGATTTTATAGTCTCAAGATAATTTCCTATAAAGTACTTATTAACTATAAAAGGAACAAAGAATAACTTTGCAGGGGTAACCCCAACAGTCACCTCTGTGTTGGGCTCTGTGATGTTCTGCCCAAGACACCTTCGGAAATGACCGACAGGCTTATCCTCAGCTGCTGGGAGTGATGACAGAAAATAGTCCTTGGTGGTTCAGGCCTCCTTGGGAGTTGCCTTAGCAGAAGAAAACTGCCTCATCCAGGGTCACACCTCATTCCAGGGGTGGCTCACATCCAGTGACTGATCACTATGGAGGAACAAAGCCCCATCCCTTTGTCCTCATCTCAGGAGCACTATGAAGAGCTATCTCAGCTCCAGAGTTTCACAGAGGGTCATCTGAGGCCTTTGGTGTGAGTGCATTGCAGCCTGACTCCCCCACTACCTAATACTGCTTCCTTCCACAGGAGTTGATCCCAACAGCACTCCCTAATCAACAGCTTGCATGCTAATTTCACAGTCTACTTCCTGGGCACTCAACCTGTGCCACCACCTTAATCGAGTGGTTAAGTTAACATCATCAGTAATGGGATCTGTAAAAGTTATGTGCAACCAGGTAGGAGGCACCAAGAAGAACACAGCATCATTTCTGCAATCTTCCTGTGAAAGATACGTGACTTGATTTTAACATCAAGTGAGGAAACATCAGTCAAACCCAAATGGAGGGGCATTCTAAAAATTACTGCCTTGTAATGTTCAAAAGTGTCAAATCATGAAAGTCAAAGCAAGATTATGAATCTGTTCCAAATTAAAGAAAACTAAAGACATGAGACATGACATCTAAATATAACATGTGATCCTGGACTAGCTTCTGTTGCTATAAGGTACATTACTGAACAAGTAGAAAAACTCAAATGTGTTCTAAAGATTAGACTACCATCAAATATCAGTGTTAATTTCCTTATTTTGATGGTTGCACAGAAGAATGTCTTTGCTCATAGGTAGTACACACTAAAGTATTCAGGGATGACGAGACATCAGATTGACAACTCTAATAACGGTTCTGGGAAAAAACAGTTCTTTGTATGGTTTGTCTTGTAAATTTTCTGTAAAGTGGAGTTTGTTTCGAAATTTAAAAAAAACTTTTAAACAACAACAATACATGTACCCAATTTTTGTACAATTATCCTGTATATTCATGTCCTTCCTTTTTTTTTTCCATCAGCGATGTAGGTTTTTAAGTTTCTTAAGAGAAACATTTTTGAACGAACTTTGTGTGGAGCACCAATCTTGATTCTTCAAAGTTACATGCTAAGGGATACCCTCCTGGTTGCCCTACCCTTGGCAACATCCTATCTCTAACAAAAGACACAAGGTGGCCTTTCCCCTCAAGAAGCATCAGCTGTAAGAGAAGATAGAACTAACTGCTGAGGAGCAGAACAGCAGTGAGGTGTTCCACCCATTGCATAACAATGCAAATAAATCCAGAGGCTGGAGAAATCAACTCGCAAGGGGTTACTTAGTGAATCACTGAAGCAAGGATGATTGAGTACCACAAGGCCAGGTTTACCAACCCATATAAATCTAAGGGAAAAGAGGCAGAGAGCAAAAAGAGATTTGTTTCTAACTTCCAAATATGATTACCTTATGCATGCGCCTTCAGTAATTAGGACTGTGATTTTTTTTCCTGAAATTTTGTCTTGATGGCTATAAACACAAGCACTGTCTTTATGAATCATCTTTATTTTTAAAATTTGGCTAACACTCCACTCAAATGTCTTTGACATGTTTAAAGCAATTTGTTTCACAAATATGAAAGTTAGAAAAGGTTGAAATGATGGAAATGATGGAAGTGAAGTAATGGAGAGAGTGTGTCATTTTCTATCACTTAGAAATATGTTGCACAAATAGAAAAGCTGTTTGATGGAAAATGCCACTGCAGCTGTCTCCACTACTTCATTTCCGTCATTTTAGTCACAGAAACATAAGGGTTTCTTCCTCTTTTTGTAAAATTAATTGCTTTAATACAAAAGGCCCCTGTCCACCCTGGGCACTAACCAAGCAATAACAGCAGACTGATTGCATGAGGGGAGCACATTCCTCATGGGCCTGCCTGATGGGCCTTTCCTGCCGCTGCAAGCTTCTTACAACTCCAGAGCCTTGAAACTGAGTGGTGTCCAAACTCCAAATGCAGCCAGACACTTGATTCAGGGAAATATTTCCTTCTCACTAGAAGCTTGTTTGCATCAGCAGAACAATAAGCTCCTGGACTACCAAGAATGCCGTCCTCCTTGCATGGAGGGTACATACTTCGTAGCCCTCTTGGAATGCTCCCAGTTCCTCAAGAGTCATCTCAAGACCTCCCTGCCCTTTTCTGAGATTTTACCCTTCAACTCTAGCTGATCCTCTTGCTCTTGACTGCCCAGAGTCACTTCGGCCAGTCGTGTCACACATTTCTGGAAGGCAACTGTATCAGTATAGCTCAATTATATACTCTCTGACTGTGTTCATTGTTTGTGGAATTCCTCTCACTCCAACTACAGTAAGCTCTTTAAAGACAGAGATGGTCAAAAGTTTGAAACCAGCCTGGCCAACATGGTGAAATCCCGTTTCTACTAAAAATACAAAAAATAAATTAGCTAGGCCTGGTGGCGGGCACCTGTAATCCCAGCTACTCAGGAGGCTGAGGCAAGAGAATCACTTGAACCTGGGAGGCAGAGGTTGCAGTGAGCTGAGATCACGCCACTGCACTCCGGCATGGGCACCAGAGCGAGACTCCAACTCAAAAAGAAAAAAGACAGAGATGGGGTCTTTCATTCCTCTTAAACCCCCTCTGGGGTGTCACAAACTGCTGGACACAGCAGAGGTTTCTGCATCACAAATTCACTGAACCAGACATGGGACAAGATGTTATAGAGATTTGTAAACAGAATTGGAAAGGAAATAGACAAGGAAGTTGAAGAAGCCAAAGCAAAACCTCCAACAGTGCAGAGAAGGAGCATCCCAATGGCTAAGCTAGGCTTTAGCCAGAGATGGGCAGCACATTTAGCACATCCAGCCCCAGCTTCCTGAAGGCTAAAGAAATGCTCATGAACAGACACAAAAACGGTCAGACCCACCTCCCAAGGGTAACTCCCATTACTTCTCTAACAAATGAGTAAATACCTATGCTACAGTAGGTACCTAGTCAGGCATGAGTAGGGGAGGAGAGGGCTTCCCCCACTACGCACACACCAGGAATGGCAGGCGACCATCAGGTGACGGTCATTGTTAAACTGTCCTTCTAAAATAATAATTGGTCCCAGCCAGTGCTAGGGAAGGGCAGTCTCCCAATAAACAGAAATACCTGAAACTGGTGATCAGCAGCTTCCCAATAAAACCTCAGCAGTTGGGTGAGTGGGCTCAGGCATGCGCACTAAGAGCCAAAATGGCGGAATTTAACCAGTATGTGGCCTTCCTCCAGGGACACTCAACTGGTAAGGAAAAAATGCATCAAGTGGTCACGAGTACAACACTAGTAAACGCACTGTGCATGCTCCGCTTCTAAGCGCTAGCAGGCCACTGCACACGCAGACACACCACTTAAGGGAAGAATCACAGGAGTAGGGACGCAAGACCCCAGAAGTATGCCAACAGGTAAAACCTGAAGTCAGTCAGGTGCGGTGGCTCATGCCTGTCATCTCAGCACTTTCAGATGGATTATTTGAGGTAAGGAGTTTGAGACCAGCCTGGTCAACATGGTGAAACCTCATCTCCATTAAAAATACAAAAATTAGCCGTGTGTTGTGGCAAGTGCCTGTAATCCCAGCTACTGGAGAGGCTGAGGCAGGAGAATCACTTGAACCTGGGAAGTGGAGGTTGCAGTAAGCTGAGATCGCGCCACTTCTCTCCAGCCTGGGTGACAGAGCAAGAGTCTGTCTCAAAAAAACGAACAAAAACCCTAAGTCAAAGTCAAACTGTACACTTGTCTTTCAAGTTACCCACTTGGCCCTTTTCCAAGTGTATTTTCTTTCCTTTCATTCCTGTTCTAAAGCTTTTGAATAAACTTTCACTCCTGCTCTAAAACTTGCCCCAGTCTCTCCTGCCTTATGAGGAGGCAAGAATTGAGGCTGCTGTAGATCCATGTGGATTCACTGCTGCTAACATACTTTGGTGCTGTGGGACTCCAGTACATTTGCTGCCACTAACACCTAGACGTGCATCCACAGGACAGTGTGTATGTATGCATGAGAGACAGACAGAGAGGAAGAGCAAGACAGAAACAGACAGGCCGGGATGAAAGTAATAGAAATCTTAAGAAAGAAGAGAAAAGATCAGAAAAGAGGCCAAGATACTGAGAAGAAAGAGGGTGAAGAGGGTAGCAAGAGAGAGGTACAGCTATTTATAGCCTGTCTTATGGTTGTGTAATACCTGTCTGGCTCTGGCTGCTGTTATAGTAGCATTTTATGAAGGTTATCCTTCCTTAAGGAATACCATAAGAATTTAGCTTTCCTACATAGTTGCAATATTGAAAATAAGGCTGGTAATTGGGTCATCTTATTAGGAAGGAACTATCACGAAGCAGTTCAAAGAGCTTCCAGTTATTCCCTCATTAATCCTTACAACATGCTTCTGGAGTAACTGGAGGGCAAAGATGAAGAATATTTAGTCCATTTGGATCCTTTCTTTAGTGGGCTGTAATTCCACTTGCATGCTCTCTTTTTAGATTAGAGACTCAAGAGCAAGTTATCGCAGTGGGCACATTTGTTTTCATTAAATATTTTCCCCCACCTTTTTCACCTCTTGCTTCATATGCTGCAAGAATGTCTTAGAATTTATGTGGAAAAGCCAGGGAATGCCCACAGTCCGTCCTCCCTGAGTTCAGACCAGCGCTTTCTGGTGGAGTACAGTTTCAATTATGTGGGTGCAAATGAGCCACGTTTATGAATTCTTGTAAGTGAAAGAGGTCATCATAAGATACAAGTGTGAAGACAGAGAGAAACAGACATAGGAGCAAGGGTGAAGGCAAATTAGGGGAATAGGAAAGAGGGGAGAAAGCACAGGAGGCAGTCAGGGAGGAAGCGTTTGTGGATGTTCTGAGTGTTCTCATTCCGATACCCATGGCCCTTCATAAGTGCTCTGTGTGGCACCCTTAATGTGACAAAGACATCAGCGACTCTATTACCCTAGGGACCATAAGCTTCACTGGGAAACTCCAGCTCTGCAGACATGATGTGGGTGACAGGGCAGGGCTGAGGAAGCACATGGTAAGGTCTCTGGCACCAAAATATGGATGGCAATCCCACCTACTTTGAGATTAAACTGTTTCTGTCACTTCAGCTAGAACTATGGGCAAATAATTCCAGGCAGAACTTGGCCTGTGGATTGTCAGAGCCCCTATGTGACTAATGAAGCTGTCAGAATGGATGTAACAAGGAGACTGGGTATTTCTGTTGGGAGGTTCAGTGATGGTTGTCTTTGCCACCAGGAGACAAAAGACATGAGAGCAATGCCCTCCTATTTGCTTTTGGAAGCATTTTCTTTGTGCGTGTGTAGATGTTTTTTAAAAAATAGACAATCACTTATGGGGAATCTATTGGGATACAATGTGAAGTTTTGATCTATGTATACATTGTAGAAAGATTCAATCAGCTAATTCACATGTTTATTACCTTACATAGTTACCTTTCTTTTCTATGTACATGGAAAAAAGAAAGGTAACTGTGGTGAAGACATTAAAAATCTATTCTTTTAGCAATTTTGAAATATACAATACATTATTTTAAACTGTGGTCACCAAGCCATGCAGTAGATCACTAAAACTTATTCTTTCAGTCTAACTGAGACTTTGTACCCATTGATCAACATCTTCTTTTTCCTCATTCCTTGCCCCCAAGCCCCAGCCTCTGGTAAACAACTTTCTACTGTGTTTCTGAGATTGACTTTTTCAGATTCCACATATAAGTGAGATCATACAGTATTCATCTTTCTGTGCCTGGCTTATTTCAGTTAGCATAGTGCTCTCCAGTTCTACCCTTGTTGAGAATGGCAGAATTTTCCTTCTTCTAAGGGCTGTATAGTACTCCATTGTGTCTATATACCACATTTTCTTTATCCATTGGTTAGGTTGCTTTCATATCTTGGTTATTGTGAGTGATGCTGAAATGAACATGAGACTACATACATCTTTTCAACATCCTGATTTCAATTTTCTTTAGATACATACCCAGAAGTGGGATTGCTGAATCACGTTAGTTCTATTGCTAGTTTTGTGAGGAACTGCCACACGACTTTCCAAAACAGCTGCCTTAATTTACATTCCCACTAATAGTGTATAGGGTTCTCTATTCCCTGCATTCTTGCCAAGGCTTGTTATCATTCTCTTTGGTAGTAACCATTCTAACAGGTATGAGGTGGCACCTCATTGTGGTTTTAATTTGCGTTTCCCTGATGATTAGAGGTGTTGAGCATTCTTCCATAAGCCAGTTGGCCATTTTGGTGTCTTCTTTTGAGAAATGTTTGCTCAGATCCTTTGCCCACAACCTGGGGTAAATCACTTAATCCCTGTGAACATTGGTTTCCATGTTTTTAATAAGTTTTATTTCTACCTTCCCTGCCTCCCAGTTTATTGTGAGAATAAAAAAGTGGTTTCCTATACATTATCTCCTTTAACCCATAAATGGCTGTTTAAAATAAATAGTATAGTCCTTATTTGCAGGTGAGGAAACAGTAATGTGATGGGGGGTGGGGTAAAGTGATTCTGTCACTGCTATCCATGGTGGAGCTCGGGTTCTGACTGGGCACTGCCTTGAGTCCAAGCCGCCTCTTTCCCCACCAAAAAGGGCTTCATTTAGCCCTTTAATCACGTGAGCTGTCATCCCTGAGATGGCCTACAAATGGCAGAGGGCCAGCCACTGGGGCATATTGTTAGTCCTCAGACCACAGTGTGTTACTTCACTACAGGTGAGTCCCATTTTACTATGCAAATACACACACACACACACACACGCACACACACATTTTACTACTTCTAGTTATAGAAGTAAACATAAGTTCCTTTGGGGGAAAAAAAGGAGGGGAAAAATCATACAAACTCATGCAGCATCCATTTATCCTATCATTTATTAGTGAGATTTTTTTCCCCCTTGAGTCTCTTACTAATGTCCCTAACAAAATCTCGGTCCTCCAATTTATCTTCCACACTTCTGCTATAGTAATCTAAAAAGTAGAAAAAAATCAGATCTTAATACTCTACCTAAAATGCTACTACAGAGGCTTCTGGCTGTTTATAGAATTACATCTAAACTTCTTATCAAGTCATACAAAGACATCAGTGTGCTTCCAAAATGTCATGCTCCACTGAACTTTTCTATTTTTTTTTTTCTAGAATGTATACAATTTCCATTCCCCTGGGTCAATTTCTATTCGTTTTTTGAGACCCGCCTCAAATAGCACTTTCTGGAGGATTCTTTCAACTATTCTTGCCATCAGTCACTCCCTCCAAAGTAGCTTCTAAGCATTTTGTTCAAAAGGTTGGCATTGAACACAGCCTTTCCTACTCAGACTGTCCCCTCTGGACAACAAATCCTCTGGAGGCAAGGGATGAACATATCTTACTACTCTAATCCCAATATGGTGCTTTGCACATACAAAGTATTAAATAAGAGTTCAATAAGCACATTCAAAAAGAAAATAAATAGGCTTTATGGTTGAAAGAAGCCAAATAAATATCTGAAAAATAAATATAAAAACATACTCTTAACAATTATTTTTGAAAAGTTACTAAATATGAATGCCAAATTAATAGTTATTTCAATGTTTGCACAAAATCTTAAGTGTCAAAAAGAAAAAATGGATATAAAGTTATCACAACACATAGACTACAAATCTGTTCAAGTTCTGTCAGCCACCTGCCTCAGTGTTGTATGGAATAGAGGTAATATGCCTCTATAGTTCAGCATTTCCTGGAATGAGTTCTGCACCTTATTCAATGGTATTATAAAAATAAAAATGTGGTAGGGTAGTGTTTATAGTAGAACAATTTTGGGAATTATTGGGCTAAACAAGATTCATTTTTTGACTACGTGTCTACTCATAGCCTTTTATATATTAATGTGCCTTGGGCCTCTATGAGAAGAGACACAAAACACAGCATGATCCAACTGTATTTGATGATGGAACTTTTTTCCCCCAAGGAGAATCTCACATGACAGGTGTTCATAGAGAACACACTCTGGGAAACACTGTCCTACTTTCTTAGATGCCATTATTAGTCACTTCACAGAGATGCTTAAAAATAAACACGTTGATCATCAATGCAGAAACCCATAGGAGCAAAAATCTGAAATGACATTCTATATAAATGTTGCTTCAAAATGATGAAATAGGCTGTCTATTTTCACCAAAATGCAGCACAAAATAGTTGAAAGAGTATAGGCTAAGAAATAGTTATCTACACGTTACAAGCTGCACAGTTTGGGGCAAGACATTTCTCAATAGAGAAAGTATGTTATGTATGTGAAAATCACACATCAGCATGATGATTTTACCTGGACTTTCTGAAACAAAATCCATAGGAAGACATAGTCTTAAAGGATATGGATGATGTTTTCAGATGTAAGGGTACTCATCTGCCCCTCTAAGACCCTATAGCACCTGCTCACCACCTACATCTTTAAATAACTTGAGATTGTCAGGCATGAGGCTTAGTTCATACTTCTCCACCTACGGCAGTCATACCCTCCTTCACCTCTTTCTCGACAACCTTGGAAGATGAGGAATTTTCCTTCCTACTCAGCCCCTCACCCGTGCCCCTGTCCTCTATGCTTCTCCTCCAGTCCCTCCTGAATCTTCAGAATTCTTCCTTGACTGATTCTTCCCTCTCTGCCTGCTACATGTTCCAGTCCCTCCAATCCTGAAACAAATACTGAAATTGAAACACCCCTCCTCTCACCCACATTCCTCTCTAGTTACCACCCAAATTTTCTTTTCCTCTCCTTCAAATTTCTTTAAAGATTCATCCAAATTGACTACACCCATTTCCTCACATCTCCTTGACTTTTAGACCATTAAAATTTGGAATCTACCCGAGTTCAACCAGTGTCCCCCAACTGTTGACTCCAGTGGGAAGTTCCTATCTCACTGCATCTCCTAGTTATATTTAATAACATTGGTCATGCTTTCCTCTTGAAACACACAACTCTCGTGGATTGAGTGACACTGCAACCCCCTTATTTTCCTTCTGTTTATCTGCTCATTTGGTCTTTGTCTCCTCCAGGGGCTCTAGTTTCTGGACTGATGCCTTAGAAGTTGTTTTCCCCAGGGCTTAAGCCTCAGTCCACTGCTGACTTGATTTACCTTTTTCTGAGTGAGCTTGCCCACGTGTGTATGATATCCAAATTATCTCCTGTCCAACCCAAACCTCCTCCCGAAGCTTCAGACTCATATTATCTATTGGACAGGTTTACCTGAAAGTCCCTCAAGTAATTCACACTCATCAATTCAAACAGAAGCATATTCATACCTCCACCATCTCCTTGGTGGAGGCTCCCTTGGTGGAGGTAGTAAGCATTGTAAGTAGAAGAGGCTGCTTGGGTCCAAATTGAGGTCCCAGCACTTTCCAGGTGTGACCTGGGTAAATTACTTAATCCTTTCAACCATTATCTCATGGGAAAAATGGAGATGGCCATAGTCCAATGCCCAGAGGGCTGCTTGAACAATTAAATGGGAGGCATACAGCACCTCTGCACAGCAACAGTGCCAATGAGTTATCAATGAAGCTACTACCTCCATTAGCATTTTCCACACTCGATTTTTTCCCTCTGGAATTCCAGGCATTCTTTATCTCATTTGGAAGTGCTAGCATCTGTCATCATAGTCACATAAGCCAGCCACCTGGAAGTCGACCTTGACCCTCCTCCCTTCCACCCCTCACAGACTCCCCAACACAAGTCCTGCAGATTTTGCCTCCTAAATATTTCTCAAACCCTGTCACTCCTGTCCATGTCTACAACTGCAGCCATAACCCCGGTTCTCATCCTCTCTCTTCTGATCATCTCCTCTCCTATCCTGAATTACCCTGATTCCCTGAAGTGGGCCAGAGCAAGCTATCTCAAATGAGAATCATCCATGTCACTCCCACCCTGAAAACACCATCCAACACCGCCGCTGGCTTTCCATAAATGCTACTCAAGAAATAAGTGAAAGAAAGATATTAAAGTGTTGCTGATGACATTTCCATGTTTTATAGGGTTTGTGATGCAGAACATGTGCAGTTGACCCAGTCCTAGAAATGCTTGAGCGGGTGATGAACAACCTGCCTCAAGGCTGCCAGCATTAGGACAGCACTTTTATACTCACAGGATGGCCCAGCTAGGGGGGATGCCCAGCACACATGACTGCGGGTCCACCAGCACCCACTTTCAGCTCTGCCCCATCCCTCTCCTCTGAAGAGACTGGAAAAAGGGAATACTTTCACAGCTTGCCTTACAGCTAAGGGTAGCAAATGAAACATAAACGATTGCCAGAAGTGCCTGGGAAAGCTTTTGTTTTCCTGATAAGTGGGGTGGGGCATGCTAATGCCATCCTTCTCCTCATCTTTCTGCTGTAACCAGAAATGTGAAGCTTGAATCTGTGAGGGCCATCATAGAATTGAGGGAAAGGTCAGGAGAATCTCCAAAGCGCTGACCTGGACACCCCCAGGTTCCTGTGGTTGAACTCCAGGGAGAAAGAAACTTGCTCATGGACCCTACTGTCACTTCGGAGGGCTCCTCAGGGAGTGAAACCTCTGCCGTTTTGAGGGGGAGACCTGGTAAGAAATACAGCTTGGGATTTCACCCTCAACTGGGTATCAAAAAAGCAGGGGCCCATGTCAAAGTAACAGCAAATTAACACCAGAAGCTGCTCCCAAGCTTTCACAGTCTCAGCCACAGGTTAGTAAAACCTGTGATTACCACTCCCCTCCTTGCCTTTCATGATTTGTCGAGGCTGCAGGCTCAGAGGTGAGAGAGAGAGAAGGCCCTGCAGACTCCCAGGGCATTTTTCAGCCACACCCACCTCCTCAGATTCATTAACACCTCCCACCTAACACAGAGATAGCTGTGCTCTGCCAGCAACTCATGAACGCAGTTATCAAAGCACAAAGAACCCCTGCAGCACAGCTCATCAAGCCGTGGCCAGGTAAGGCAGTAGCTCTCCTGCTCACCTTCTCTACTCAGAGCCCAGCACACCATCCAAGAGCCCTATTTATTTAAATATTTAGAAAGAAAGAAGGAAGAAGGAAAGAAGGGAGGAAGGGAGGAAGGGAGGGAGGAAGGAAGGAATGGAGGGAGTGAGAGAGAGAGGGAGGGAGGGAGGGAGGGAGGGAGGGAGGGAGGGAGGGAGAGAAGGAAATTGGTTAGAAGGCAGAATCACATAAATAAATCCCATGACCTAGGTTCTGAGAACAGCAACATAGGGAAACTCCAGTGTACTAACATATCTCAGCTCATCTATACAGGCACAGGGAATGAGAGAGCAACCTCAACAAAAAAACTGAATGCAAATTGGAAGCAACTAAGTATAAAGTTATTTTTTCTGTATTTTAAATATAATAATAGCTTGCTTTATGAAACAGCTATGTTTTTACCTATATAACAAACCTGCACATTTACCCCCGAACCTAAAAAAAAAGTTTTTTTAAGTATATAGTGAGTGTGATGGTTAATACTGTCAACTTGATTGGATGGAAGGATACAAAGTATTAATCCTAGGTGTTGCCAAAAGAGATTAACATTTGAGTCAGTGGGCTGGGGAAGGCAGATCCACCCTTAATCTGGTGGGCACAAGCTAATCAGCTTCCAGTGAATATAAAGCAGGCAGAAAAACTTGAAAAGGAGAGATGGGCCTAGCCTCCCAGCCTACATCTTTCTCCCATGCTGGATGCTTCCTGCCTTTGAACATCAGACTCCAAGTTCTTCAGTTTTGGGACTTGGACTGGCTCTCATTGCTCCTCAGCTTGCAGACAGCCTATTGTGGGACCTTGTGACCATATAAATTAATACTTAAATAAACTCCCCTTTATATGTATATACACACAACACTCACACACACACACACACATATATATATATACACACACGTATATGTACAAACACACACACACACATATATATATCCTATTAGGTCTGTCCCTCAAGAGAACACTGACTAATATAGTGAGTGACAGTAAGTCAATCTTTGTTGGTAAGTCTCTTGTTATAAACACTCTTAAAGATGTACTGGTAGAGATTCTTTTTTTTTTAGTCTTTTTTTAAAAATTTATTTATTTATTATTATAATACTTTAAGTTTTAGGGTACATGTGCACAATGTGCAGGTTAGTTACATGTGTATACATGTGCCATGGTGGTGCGCTGCACCCACTAACTCGTCATCCAGCATTAGGTATATCTCCCAATGCTATCCCTCCCCCCTCCCCCCACCCCACAACAGGCCCCAGAGTGTGATGTTCCCCTTCCTGTGTCCATGTGTTCTCATTGTTCAATTCCCACCTGTGAGTGAGAATATGCGGTGTTTGGTTTTTTGTTCTTGCGATAGTTTACTGAGAATGATGATTTCCAATTTCATCCATGTCCCTACAAAGGACATGAACTCATCCTTTTTTATGGCTGCATAGTATTCCATGGTGTATATGTGCCACATTTTCTTAATCCAGTCTATCATTGTTGGATATTTGGGTTGGTTCCAAGTCTTTGCTATTGTGAATAATGCCGCAATAAACATACGTGTGCATGTGTCTTTATAGCAGCATGATTTATAGTCCTTTGGGTATATACCCAGTAATGGGATGGCTGGGTCAAATGGTATTTCTAGTTCTAGATCTCTGAGGAATTGCCACACTGACTTCCACAATGGTTGAACTAGTTTACAGTCCCACCAACAGTGTAAAATTGTTCCTATTTCTCCACATCCTCTCCAGCACCTGTTGTTTCCTGACTTTTTAATGATTGCCATTCTAACTGGTGTGAGATGGCATCTCATTGTGGTTTTGATTTGCATTTCTCTGATGGCCAGTGATGGTGAGCATTTTTTCATGTGTTTTTTGGCTGCATAAATGTCTTCTTTTGAGAAGTGTCTGTTCATATCCTTCGCCCACTTTTTGATGGGGTTGTTTGTTTTTTTCTTGTAAATTTGTTTGAGTTCATTGTAGATTCTGGATATTAGCCCTTTGTCAGATGAGTAGGTTGCAAAAATTTTCTCCCATTCTGTAGGTTGCCTGTTCACTCTGATGGTAGTTTCTTTTGCTGTGCAGAAGCTCTTGAGTTTAATTAGATCCCATTTGTCAATTTTGGCTTTTGTTGCCATTGCTTTTGGTGTTTTAGACATGAAGTCCTTGCCCATGCCTATGTCCTGAATGGTAATGCCTAGGTTTTCTTCTAGGGTTTTTATGGTTTTAGGTCTAACGTTTAAGTCTTTAATCCATCTTGAATTGATTTTTGTATAAGCTGTAAGGAAGGGATCCAATTTCAGCTTTCTACATATGGCTAGCCAGTTTTCCCAGCACCATTTATTAAATAGGGAATCCTTTCCCCATTGCTTGTTTTTCTCAGGTTTGTCAAAGATCAGATAGTTGTAGATATGTGGCATTATTTCTGAGGGCTCTGTTCTGTTCCATTGATCTATATCTCTGTTTTGGTACCAGTACTATGCTGTTTTGGTTACTGTAGCCTTGTAGTATAGTTTGAAGTCAGGTAGTGTGATGCCTCCAGCTTTGTTCTTTTGGCTTAGGATTGATTTGGCAATGCGGGCTCTTTTTTGGTTCCATGTGAACTTTAAAGTAGTTTTTTCCAATTCTGTGAAGAAAGTCACTGGTAGCTTGATGGGGATGGCATTGAATCTGTAAATTACCTTGGGCAGTATGGCCATTTTCACGATATTGATTCTTCCTACCCATGAGCATGGAATGTTCTTCCATTTGTTTGTATCCTCTTTTATTTCCTTGAGCAGTGGTTTGTAGTTCTCCTTGAAGAGGTCCTTCACATCCCTTGTAAGTTGGATTCCTAGGTATTTTATTCTCTTTGAAGCAATTGTGAATGGGAATTCACTCATGATTTGGCTCTCTGTTTGTCTGTTGCTGGTGTATAAGAATGCTTGTGATTTTTGTACATTGATTTTGTATCCTGAGACTTTGCTGAAGTTGCTTATCAGCTTAAGGAGCTTTTGGGCTGAGACAATGGGGTTTTCTAGATATACAATCATGTCGTCTGCAAACAGGGACAATTTGACTTCCTCTTCTCCTAATTGAATACCCTTTATTTCCTTCTCCTGCCTAATTGCCCTGGCCAGAACTTCCAACACTATGTTGAATAGGAGTGGTGAGAGAGGGCATCCCTGTCTTGTGCCAGTTTTCAAAGGGAATGCTTCCAGTTTTGGCCCATTCAGTATGATATTGGCTGTGGGTTTGTCATAGATAGCTCTTATTATTTTGAAATACATCCCATCAATACCTAATTTATTGAGAGTTTTTAGCATGAAGGGTTGTTGAATTTTGTCAAAGGCCTTTTCTGCATCTATTGAGATAATCATGTGGTTTTTGTCTTTGGTTCTGTTTATATGCTGGATTACATTTATTGATTTGCGTATATTGAACCAGCCTTGCATCCCAGGGATGAAGCCCACTTGATCATGGTGGATAAGCTTTTTGATGTGCTGCTGGATTCGGTTTGCCAGTATTTTACTGAGGATTTTTGCATCAATGTTCATCAAAGATATTGGTCTAAAATTCTCTTTTTTGGTTGTGTCTCTGCCCGGCTTTGGTATCAGGATGATGCTGGCCTCATGAAATGACTTAGGGAGGATTCCCTCTTTTTCTATTGATTGGAATAGTTTCAGAAGGAATGGTACCAGTTCCTCCTTGTACCTCTGGTAGAATTTGGCTGTGAATCCATCTGGTCCTGGACTCTTTTTGGTTGGTAAGCTATTGATCATTGCCACAATTTCAGATCCTGTTATTGGTCTATTCAGAGATTCAACTTCTTCCTGGTTTAGTCTTGGGAGAGTGTATGTGTCCAGAAATTTATCCATTTCTTCTAGATTTTCTAGTTTATTTGCATAGAGGTGTTTGTAGTATTCTCTGATGGTAGTTTGTATTTCTGTGGGATCGGTGGTGATATCCCCTTTATCATTTTTTATTGTGTCTATTTGATTCTTCTCTCTTTTTTTCTTTATTAGTCTTGTTAGCGGTCTATCAATTTTGTTGATCCTTTCAAAAAACCAGCTCCTGGATTCATTAATTTTTTGAAGGGTTTTTTGTGTCTCTATTTCCTTCAGTTCTGCTCTGATTTTAGTTATTTCTTGCCTTCTGCTAGCTTTTGAATGTGTTTGCTCTTGCTTTTCTAGTTCCTTTAATTGTGATGTTAGGGTGTCAATTTTGGATCTTTCCTGCTTTCTCTTGTGGGCATTTAGTGCTATAAATTTCCCTCTACACACTGCTTTGAATGCGTCCCTGAGATTCTGGTGTGTTGTGTCTTTGTTCTCGTTGGTTTCAAAGAACATCTTTATTTCTGCCTTCATTTCATTATGTATCCAGTAGTCATTCAGGGGCAAGTTGTTCAGTTTCCATGTAGTTGAGCCGTTTTGAGTGAGATTCTTAATCCTGAGTTCTAGTTTGATTGCACTGTGGTCTGAGAGATAGTTTGTTATAATTTCTGTTCTTTTACATTTGCTGAGGAGAGCTTTACTTCCCAGTATGTGGTCAATTTTGGAATAGGTGTGGTGTGGTGCTGAAAAAAATGTATATTCTGTTGATTTGGGGTGGAGAGTTCTGTAGATGTCTATTAGGTCCGCTTGGTGCAGAGCTGAGTTCAATTCCTGGGTATCCTTGTTGACTTTCTGTCTCGTTGATCTGTCTAATGTTGACAGTGGGGTGTTAAAGCCTCCCATTATTAATGTGTGGGAGTCTAAGTCTCTTTGTAGGTCACTCAGGACTTGCTTTATGAATCTTGGTGCTCCTGTATTGGGTGCATATAAATTTAGGAGAGTTAGCTCTTCTTGTTGAATTGATCCCTTTACCATTATGTAATGGCCTTCTTTGTCTCTTTTGATCTTTGTTGGTTTGAAGTCTGTTTTATCAGAGACTAGGATTGCAACCCCTGCTTTTTTTTGTTTTCCATTTGCTTGGTAGATCTTCCTCCATCCTTTTATCTTGAGCCTATGTGTGTCTCTGCATGTGAGATGGGTTTCCTGAATACAGCACACTGATGGGTCTTGACTCTTTATCCAATTTGCCAGTCTGTGTCTTTTAATTGGAGCATTTAGTCCATTTACATTCAAAGTTAATATTGTTATGTGTGAATTTGATCCTGTCATTATGATGTTAGCTGGTGATTTTGCTCATTAGTTGATGGAGTTTCTTCCTAGTCTTGATGGTCTTTACATTTTGGCATGATTTTGCAGTGGCTGGTACTGGTTGTTCCTTTCCATGTTTAGCGCTTCCTTCAGGAGCTCTTTTAGGGCAGGCCTGGTGGTGACAAAATCTCTTAGCATTTGCTTGTCTGTAACGTATTTTATTTCTCCTTCACTTATGAAGCTTAGTTTGGCTGGATATGAAATTCGGGGTTGAAAATTCTTTTCTTTAAGAATGTTGAATATTGGCCCCCACTCTCTTCTGGCTTGTAGGGTTTCTGCCGAGAGATCCGCTGTTAGTCTGATGGGCTTCCCTTTGAGGGTAACCCAACCTTTCTCTCTGGCTGCCCTTAACATTTTTTCCTTCATTTCAACTTTGGTGAATCTGACAATTATGTGTCTTGGAGTTGCTCTTCTCGAGGAGTATCTTTGTGGCGTTCTCTGTATTTCCTGAATCTGAACGTTGGCCTGCCTTGCTAGATTGGGGAAGTTCTCCTGGATAATATCCTGCAGAGTGTTTTCCAACTTGGTTCCATTCTCCCCATCACTTTCAGGTACACCAATCAGACGTAGATTTGGTCTTTTCACATAGTCCCATATTTCTTAGAGGCTTTGCTCATTTCTTTTTATTCTTTTTTCTCTAAACTTCCCTTCTCACTTCATTTCGTTCATTTCATCTTCCATCGCTGATACCCTTTCTTCCAGTTGATCGCATCGGCTCCTGAGGCTTCTGCATTCTTCACGTAGTTCTCGAGCCTTGCTTTTCAGCTCCATCAGCTCCTTTAAGCACTTCTCTGTATTGGTTATTCTAGTTATACATTCTTCTAAATTTTTTTCAAAGTTTTCAACTTCTTTGCCTTTGGTTTGAATGTCCTCCCGTAGCTCAGAGTAATTTGATCGTCTGAAGCCTTCTTCTCTCAGCTCGTCAAAGTCATTCTCCATCCAGCTTTGTTCCGTTGCTGGTGAGGAACTTCATTTCTTTGGAGGAGGAGAGGCGGTCTGCTTTTTAGAGTTTCCAGTTTTTCTGTTCTGTTTTTTCCCCATCTTTGTGGTTTTATCTACTTTTGGTCTTTGATGATGGTGATGTACAGATGGGTTTTTGGTGTGGATGTCCTTTCTGTTTGTCAGTTTTCCTTCTAACAGACAGGACACTCAGCTGCAGGTCTGTTGGAGTACCCTGCCGTGTGAAGTGTCAGTGTGCCCCTGCTGGGGGGTGCCTCCCAGTTAGGCTGCTTGGGGGTCAGGGGTCAGGGACCCACTTGAGGAGGCAGTCTGCCTGTTCTCAGATCTCCAGCTGTGTGCTGGGAGAACCACTGCTCTCTTCAAAGCTGTCAGACAGGGACATTTAAGTGTGCAGAGGTTACTGCTGTCTTTTTGTTTGTCTGTGCCCTGAGGTGGAGCCTACAGAGGCAGGCTGGCCTCCTTGAGCTGTGGTGGGCTCCACCCAGTTCGAGCTTCCAGGCTGCTTTGTTTCAGTAAGCAAGCCTGGGCAATGGCGGGCGCCCCTCCCCCAGCCTCTCTGCCGCCTTGCAGTTTGATCTCAGACTGCTGTGCCAGCAATCAGCGAGACTCCGTGGGCGTAGGACCCTCTGATCCAGGTGCGGGATATAATCTCCTGATGCGCCGTTTTTTAAGCCTGTCGGAAAAGTGCAGTATTGGGGTGGGAGTGACCCCATTTTCCAGGTGCCGTCCGTCACCCCTTTCTTTGACTCGGAAAGGGAACTCCCTGACCCCTTGCACTTCCTGAGTGAGGCAATGCCTCGCCCTGCTTCGGCTCGCGCACAGTGCACGCACCCACTGACTTGTGCCCACTGTGCGGCACTCCCTAGTGAGATGAACCCCATACCTCAGATGGAAATGCAGAAATCACTGTCTTCTGGGTCGCTCAGGCTGGGAGCTGTAGACCTGAGCTGTTCCTATTCGGCCATCTTGGCTCCTCCCCCCGAGATTCTTTTAAGTGCCCTTTATTTTTAACAAAGTATTTATTCTCGTCTGTTTTTTTTTTTAATTTATGTTACATTTTGGTTCACTTTTAATAGTAAATGATATCTCAAATGTTTAGACATTTAGCTGATTGTAAAACGTTAGCTAAAATGGATCTTCTCTTGAAATGGTGTTGCCAGATTTTTAAAAATGAATAGAAATTATATTCTTTTTCGTTTTTAAACCATCACTTTTACCTTCTGAGTTTCTGGAAATTGAGGTGCACCTGTATATAGAAACCTTTGCACTTAATTTCATTTCTAGTTCACGTTCTATACTTGTCTCTTCTCATTATAGCAATTAGCCTTAAAATCTAATTTCCTTGGCTTTATTCAGTCCTATTGAAACAGGCACTGAATTTTAAGAGAATTATTTCCCCAGCAATGTTCTTTTTTCTTCCTGTCTTACAACTATGGCAGCCATGAAGTTGAGGCTCTCATGTAACTTCCTGAATGATGTGAGATGCAGAAATGACTCTGATCAAGATAAATCCTCTACCATGGGTCCTTCCACGCCCCTCGAAGTGTGCTTAATTTCTACACTAAATAGTAGAGTGTGGAATTTTGTCACTTGCCTTTCTTGTATCTACAACAGGTTGGGCAATGAAACATCTTCAAATGTGTGTGACCTATAATAGAAAATCTTCAAATACATGTGGCCCTGTAATGGCCCACACATACTAGAATACAGCTTAACTCTGAACGCACACATCATGGGTTCTGAAAGGTTTAGAATACATGTTGGTTTAAAAATATACAGATTTTATCTCAAAAACAAATTAGCTATGCTTTTCCCCCTCTTTTATTGAGGGAACAAAAGTAATAGTATTTCTTGTGTAAAAAAGAAAAGAGGACTTAAAATGTTCACTGTAATGGATGCTGTGGTGGGCTGCCTGGACCTTTCCCATTGTTGGGAGTGTTGGTGGCTGACAATTCTCATTCATTTAGTTGCTTTCAGGGGTTACCCTCAGCCACAGAGAACCAATTACACCAAGGCTGTAACCCCAGTCAAGGTATAAAAGGTATAACAGGCCCATGCCCTTGGCTCAAGGCGAGACAACTCTGAAGATCCAACCCATAGCTAGAGTTCACCTTGAGATCCACGGGGGCCCTGTCTGCACTGCAGTTCAACTCCTCCCTCTGTCCAACAGTGATTCCTCCACTCCCTTGCAGATGTTGATCCTGAGAGATCTCCCCAGTAAACTTTCTGCGCACAAGTCTTCTTCTCAGAGTTTATTTCCTAGTAACCCGATCTAAGACATTCATCTTACCAGTTTTTCTAAGACTTCCATTATCATAATTATTTTCTGAACGGCCTATGAGAGTGTTTCAAACCTCAGACAAGTCCAATTCAGAATTGAAGCTTCCCTCTCCTCTTCTCCCCACCCTAAATATTTGGCTTTAAAGATGGAGATAAAACTTCCCTCATAATTGCAGCAGAACTGTGGTCCAGAGCTTCAAACGTGAATTTGTTGTCATGCACGGGATGTAATATGTTGTTAGGCAGGTGATTTTGTCATTGTGTGAACATCATAGAAACAAAGATGGTACAGCCCACTACACACCTAGGCTATATGGCAGAGCCTACTGCTGTTAGGTTACAGACTCATAGTGTGTTTTACTGTACTGAATACAGCACTGCAGGCAATTGTAACACAATGGTAAGTATTTATATATAAACATAGAAACATTTATATATAAACATAGAAAAAGTACAGTAAAAATACAATATAAAAAGTAAAAAATGGTACACCTGCATAGGACACTTACCATGAATGGAACGTGCAGGACCAGAAGTAGCCCTGGGTGAGTGGTGAGTGAATGCGAAGGCCTAGGTCATTACTGCATGCTACTGTAGACTTTATAAACACTATAAACTTAGGCTACAGTACATTTAAAAAAATAAGTAATCTCACTATTCTATTATGATAGCTATGACATCACTATGTAACAGGAATTTTTCAGCTCCATCAGAATCTCATAAGATCACCTATGCATGATCTGTCATTGACTGAAATGTTGCTATGTGGCACATAACTGTACATGGTTCTTGCTTTCTTCTACAGTGTCAGAGTTTCCAGTTTTTAGTTAAGTCTGTTAAATTTCCTCAAAAAATTGTCTTTTTTACATTAATACTCATTCCATCTGAGATTTACTACTGTATATGGGACAAGATGAGGGTCAATTTTTAAACTTTCTTCCAGTTGGAGAGTCAGTTATTTCTGCATCATTTATGTAAAAACAAACAAGCAAACAGATAAAATCTCATATGGTCTTCTTACTTCATGAAACCAACAATCATATTAACTCATATACTGAAATCCATTTCTGGATTCTCTATTATGTCCTACTAAATATTTTTCATAGTATGTTCTGATAGCCGCTTCAGAAAGAAAATACTCTTACTTATTATTTCTTTGTATGATTTCCTTGGTTATCACCAGGTAATTATTATTTCAAATGAACTTTAAGATTATTTTATACAAGTCCAAAAAACCAAAACCAAAGCCAAAGACAACTCAAAACTCCACTGGGATTCTAATTGGAAATGCATTAAATTTACATATTAATTTTGGGAGGCTTTTAAAAATTGACAATCATAATTGTATATGTTTATGGGGTTTTGGGATGTGATGTTTTGATCAATATGTGATGTTTTGATCAAAATATACATTGTGGATTGATTAATTCAAGCTAATTAACATATTCATTCCTTCACATACCATTTCTTTGTGGTGAGAATATTTAAAATCTACTCTTTTAGTAATTTGGAAATATACATTATTATTAACTATAGTCACCATGCTGTGGAATAGGTCACTAAAACTCATTCCTTCCATCTAACTGAAATTTTGTATTCTTTGACCAACCCCTTGGGAGACTAAAAATGTATACAGAAAGACTTCCCACTCAAGAACATGTTTGACTTTTCATTGGTTTCTCATGTTTTTTATTAAGATTTAATAGCTGGTTTATATAGGTTGCGTGTTCAGGTTTTAGTCCTACATTTTATAGTTTTGGTCATGTGAAATTTTTTTATGTCTATTTCTGGGTGCTTAGTGCTGGGGAAGATAAAAGTTATTGATTTTTATATATTTATCTTCTATCTAGCCAACTTACAAAGTTTTATTAATACAGTGCTTTTTTCCCTTGAATCTGTTGGGTTTTCTACATACACAATCATAGTATTAGCAAATATATAGTTTTACTTCTTAGTTTCCAGCATTTATAGCAGATGTATCTCTTACATTGTTCATTTACTAAAACCTTTAAAGTACTTCTTTTTAAAAAGGGAATGATGATAGCAGGCATTTCTTTCTAATTTCTGATTACAGTGAAATTTGTTAACTTTTTTCCACTTAGATATCAAAAGTTGTTGTTTTGATGTAAGCAATCTTTATTATCATTGAGGTGTTTTTTTTCTAAATTTTTCCCCTTAAACTCTTCCTAAAACTGGATGCTGAATTTTACCATGTACCTTTCTGTGACTGCTGATTTGATTGCCTAATTTTTTCCTTTAATTTGTGCATAGGATTATATGGGCAGATTTCCTATGTTGTGCCACCCCTGCTTCTCTGTGCATGTATTTCCTTGATAATCTTATAAATTCCTATAGAAATGTTTACCAAAATGTGTCAAAAGTTAATAGCTATAACTTAATAAAAGGGTTCCATGATCAAATTAATTTAAGAAGCACCAGACCAAAGTTAAATGGTCCTTCCCCAGACCTTTGAAGCTAATGTGCATCGTTAATCTTCAAGAGGAGGTTAAAGGCTGGGCATGGTGTCTCATGCCTGCAATCCCAGCACTTTGGGAAGCTGAGGTGGGTGGATAACTTGAGGTTAGGAGTGCGAAACCAGCCTGGACAACATGGTGAAACTCTGCCTCTACCAAAAATACATAAAATTAGCTGGGCGTAATGGTGTGCAACTGTGGTCCCAGCTACTCTGGAGGCTGAGGCACCAGAATCGCTTGAACCTAGGAGGAAGAGGTTGCAGTGAGCTGAGATCACACCACTGTTCCAGCCTGGGCAACAGAGCAAGACTCTGTCTCAAAAAAAAAAAAAAAAAAAAGGGTGATTAAAGTACAAAGTGTTTAGTGAAGTTTATTGGACTATATTTTTCACGGGCCATCCCATGGGACTAGATCAGAGCAGAATCAACTTTCGGAATGCATACTTGGATTGCATGCTAAGATTTACAAACATTTTCAGCACGAGACCAATTAAATCATGGAGATAAAAGTTAGAATCATAGGATGCCAAAACCATTTGTTTGAGGAAGAATAATTTAGTTAAGCAACACATTATACCAGTTTTACTTTTATTTATATGAGATTTTCTCCTTGGGTGGGCCCAAGTTATCAATATTTGGCACTATACAGACCAGTCTTAGAGCACAGGGTAATTCAGGGGCTGGATGTCATTCCAGCTCCTGCCACTGTTGACATATGACACTAGGAAATCACACAACTGTGCCTGTACCCACCTCTCTCTACAATGCAACCCATGGTGTCAAGACTGGAGCTTGCACATGGCACTCACCAATGACGTATTCCACCCTGAAGAGATCCCTTCTGGGGTCATATGGACGACTGAAGTCAATCTGCACATAGAAAGACTGCCCTCTGCGGACAATCAGCTTGTTGTTTTCATACTTGTCAGTGTGGTGGTCCACCTTGTTAGTGTCCCATCTCTCCTTGAACAGGTGAACGCTCGTGACATTAAGAAACTCTATGAACAAGAAAAACAAGGGTTGAAGAAAATAATCAACTAACTTTAGTTTAAACATAAACTCAAAAACAAGATTATTTTCCCTGAAGAAGGCAGGTAGCAAGGTCTGCTGAATGAAACTCTGTAGGAGGCAGGGGTAGGGGAACACAGTCTCGAGAGTCAGCCTCTTGTGACATTCTTGTTTTTGAAGAGAGCTTTTTAAAGCTTTTTCCACCTTTGATCTCGTTTCAGACCACAAGGCACTCACTGTGGGATAGATGGATGCCTGTCTGGGAGATCCAAATACAGAGAAGCTAGGGCCAGAGTTGAAGTCTTCAGGTTCTCAGTCTCACGCTAGTTTTCGTTATGTTAGAAGCTTCCCATCATGTCACTGCCTCACTCTGTGACTAACCAGGCAGAAGCAGGGAATAGCCACTTCAATTTTCTTATCTTTCCAAAGGAAGGAATCAAATCTGACAAAGCCTCAAGGGGACATTCGAAGGACAAAGTTAGCCATTAATCTAAAATTCTCCTTTTACCTCAAAAAGGGTCAAATGCCTCCTCCCTCTGTAATTCTAAAAGTAGATCTCATCCCTCAAATGCAGGAAAGAGAGGGAGCAGGTCTGGAGAAAGGACACTAAGATTTCCATGAGATAAGTGTGATTGTTTTCAGTGACACAGAAACTATCCTCAGCTTTCCTTAGCTACTAATGGGCCAGTTCAAAAGTCAAAACCTGGACTGTCTGATGCCAACATTCACAGGTTTTTCTTTTGATTTGTGGCATCAGGAGTGTAAACGTAAATCACATGTTTCTTAGTTGTCTAACTTTGTATGTGTGACTTAAATTCATTTCTTCATCATAGAATGGAGACACTAATATTCATTTCATAGCCTAACATGTTCCACTTCTTACAGGAATGTGACAGGAGACGGCATGAGATGACACGTATGCAAGCATTTAGCAAAGGGTCTGACACATGAAAGTCAGCTCTCTTCCTGCCCTTTTCCCCTTCCCCTCTATGAATGATGACTGAAAGTGGGGGTCATCCTAACTCCCTGTCCTCACTGTACTTTAGAAGATCTAGTCTAGAGACTGGTTTCTGCATGTGCATTTGGCATTGTAAAGAGTTATTGGGGAGAAGGTGGGGTGGGAGGGTAGAAGGGTCGGCAGGGGTGCCCTGGCCTCTTGCCCTCCCCCTCCCTGCCCCTGCCTGATGCATGATTTGCCTTCATGGCTATAAGCACCATGTGCGCAGAAAGCACAGTTGCTGAGCTTGTACCCATGCCGGGGCATCTCCTGCCATAGTCGAATGGCTTCCTTTACCTCCACACATAAATCCTGTGCAGGATGCCTGGTCCCTTTGGACCCCATTGTGTTCCATAGTCAAAACCAAGAAGTTGGGCTCTTTAAGATCCTCTTCGGTCCTAAAGTCCAGGAGTTCCTGAAACACTGCTGAGCAATTCAAAGTTCAGGCAATCCTGAGTTTGAATCTCAGGTGTCAAAATTACTGCGTTAAGGTACTTTACCTTTCAGAATCTGAATTTTCTTATTTTAAAATGAGGATACTAATACCCTGAGAAGGTCTATGAAGGCTCAATGAGATAACGGTGCAGTGGGTCTGGCACTATGCCTGGCACATAGTGGGTCCTAGGCTTACTGTGGCTCACTGCCCCTAAACTGTGACAGCCATTTCACAGGGCGTGGTGCTCCCCGGGTTACCCTGACTGCAGCATTACGGCAAGCAGAAAGTGCAGGATGCAGTTTTATTTTTACCTCTTCTCAGAACCCTGTTGTATACATGTTCCCCTGAAGGGCACTTTCTTTCCATTATGCTGTGAGCTAAAGATGTTTAATTCTCTAGACCTCTCTATTCCAAGCTGCCTTTCTCCTAAGTCCTCTGGTCTTATTAAGACCACAATCCCCGTGATAAACCAGCCCAAGAATGAGCTGGAGGAGCACAAATGTTCCTGTTGAAAAGGAGCTTAGCAATCAACTCCTCTGGTCCTCTTTCTTAGCACAGGGGCTTTAAAGTTTTTTTTTTAAAAATAGCTAAACACCAAAGTCCTTAGAAATGGGTTTCATCAGTTCTCCGTTTACCAGCACCAATGGAAGGAATATACTGATATTACATCCTTACAGAATCTCACAGAACAGCAATAGCATTTTCTCAGCCATCTGGTAGAACTACTATACCCTGCATGAAACATTTTCATGAGAGCCCTACTACTTGGGCTTCTAGCTTCCATTTGAACAGGGAACTCATTTTTTCATAGGGCAAACAGTCCATTTTTAAACAACTCTAATTATTTGAAAACTTCTCTTAAGATAAACTGACATCTGCTTCCTTGTAATTTTTCTAACCATGGGTCCTCGTTCTGACTTCTAGATAAATATAGAATAAGTCCTCTTATTCATTTTAGCTGGCACTCTCTAGGTATTTAAAGACTGCTCATAGGATTTTTTTTTTTTCTGAGTAAAACATTCTTCATTTATTTAACTGTTTGCTTGTTTGAAACAGAGTCTTGCTCTGTTACCCAGACTGGAGTGCAGTGGCGCGATCTCGGCTCACTGCAACCTCTGCCTCCTGGGTTCAAGCAATCCTCCCCACCTCATCCTCCTGAGTAGCTGGGATTGCAGGCACTCACCACCATGCCCCGCTAATTTTTGTATTTTTAAAAAATTTAATAGAGACGGGGTTTCACCATGTTGGCCAGGCTGGTCTTGAACTCCTGACCTCAGGTGATCCGCCGGCTTGGCTTTCCAAAGTGCTAAGATTATAGGCGTGAGCCATCACATCCAGCCTATTTAACTGTTTTTAAGAAGTTATTTCTAGAACTTTTATCCAACGCTCTGTTTTGGAATATTTTCCACTTTGTCAATTTCTCTTTTGAAGTGTTATTTTCTGGAATTAAGTACATTACTCTAGTTGTGGTTTTTCTGTAAAAAAAAAAAAAAGAGACCATTACATCTTTTAAAATAAACAGTCTATTATTTCAAATCAAGATATTGTCAGTGTCTTGGATACTCTTAACTCACTGTTGATTTATATTATGCATCTGATAAAGCAAAACCCTTAAAACACATTCTTTTTTTTTTTTTTTTTTTTTTTTGAGGCAGAGTCCTGCTCTGTTGCTCAGGCTGGAGTTCAGTGGTGCAATTTCAGCTCACTGCAACTTCTGCCTCCCGGGTTCAAGCAATTCTCATGTCTCAGCCTCTCAAGTTGCTAAGACTACAGGCTCACACCACCATGCCTGGCTAATTTGTTTGTTTTTGTTTTTGTTTTAGTAGAGATGGGGTTTCACTATATTGGTCAGGCTGGTCTTGAACTCCTGACCTCAGGTAATCCCCCTGCCTCAGCCTCCCTTAAAACACATTCTAATGTTATTTCTAGCAACAATGGATCAAAATTCAGTTGAGGCCCCTACAAGTCACCCACTCATGTTGCTATTTGGCTATATTTATTTGTGCAATTGTTTTCTTCTGTTTAGTTCGATATTAAGACTTTGCATGGGTTAAATTTCTTCTTATTGAATTTGGCTCACTGTCCCATGCTCTTAAGATCATTTTAACCCCTAAGTATGCATTTAATATATTTAATATTCTCCCTAGCTTCTTGTCCTCTGGGAATGTTATAAGTGTGCTATTTTATGTTGCCACTCAAGACATGGGTATAAATGTTGATTAGGCAACTGTCTAATAACTACTAACTAAGTAAACGCACAGCAGTAGATGCTAAAATGTGGACAGATAATTATGACACAGTGTCAGACATCTCTGACAAAGGAAGTAAAGAGAACTGAGGGGAGTATCAGGGAGGAGCCCCTAACCCACATTTAGGGGGTAGAAAATAAGGAATTTCTCTGAAGGAAGTGAGACATAAGCAGTGAGCAAAAGAGGAGTCAGTTGTCCATGTGGAAAGGGGGGTGGAGAGGAATGCTTCAGGCGGAGAAAGAAGGATAGGTGAAGACTGAGGCAAGAGAGTGCATAGTTGCTTAAGAAATTGAAAGATGATGGTTGGCTGAAATGTACTAGTGGGAGCCACGGTGGAAGAGTAAGGAGGAGCCTGCTCATCACACGAGCCTTGGAGACCATGCGAAGGAGTTTGGGTTTTAATTGCATGGTGGATCCAGTGAAGAATCTGAAACAGCAAACTGACATGATTAGATTTATATATATATTGAAACTGCTTCTGGTGGCAGAGTGGAAAAGGGATTGGAAGGGGCAAAGCTGGAAGCTGAACCCAGTTAAGAAGCTGTTGCAGTGTTCTGGGTGAGGGGCCACGTGAGTTTAGCCTGCATGTAGGGGTTCAAGGCACTGCTCCTCTGGTACTCCTGGATTTGCCTTCTCTATTCCTACCCTCCCTCCCTGCATGATAATGTGTCCCTGAAATGAGTCCTGCCTTGGCTTCCCAAGCAGCTCTACCTACAAGGCAAAGTAAGGCTGGAGACGGAGAAATATTCGAGTATTTCTTTGGTATCATTGGTATGTCTCATCCATCCTAGTTCTCATTGCAAATGAAAACCTGGCTTTCCAGCTTTACCTCCTAGCCTAGTGTACCTGGTTAATGTCTAGTGAGACTGGTTAGAGTCAGTCCATCATGGCATAGTGCTAGTTTTATGGGATATTGACAGGTATTGGAAGAATTAGAGCTCCATGTTTAAACCAGTGTGGAAAATGCTGGCCTAACCAAAGCTGATCAGGATTCTTTACTGAAGCATTCATGTGAGACTTTAATATGCTGATGTATACCACAGATATCTCAGAGGGGCAATGGTTTCCAAATGTAAATGACTATGGAAACTTTTTTCTTTGGAGATCTGCATTTTTCAGAATATGTTTTTGGAAATGCTTCACTACTTACTTATTGTGCAGCCTCAGAAAAGTTATTTAATCTATCTGAGCCTCAGTTTTCTTATCTTTAATATGGGAATGAAGTACCTATCTTATAGAGTGGCTGACACCAAGTACATTCTTAATAAATGTTTATTATTATTGTTGTTGTTATTATTATTAAGAGAAGTAGAAGAGCATAGTAAGAGCATAGACTGTGGAGCTAGGCTGCCTGAACCCAAATCCCAACTCTCACGTACTGTCTTTGTGACCTTGGCAAGTTACATAAATGTCCTGTGCCTCAGTTTTCTCATCTGCAAAATGAAGTTGGTGTGAGGATTAAATGAGAAAATGCACCGAGTGCTCTATCCTAGGGCCTGGTACATGGTAAATGCTCAGAAATTGATGGCAATAATAATCATAATAGCACTGAGCATTTGGATTGGCCCTTAGGACCAATCATTAAGTAGTCAGGTATCTGAGAAGGCATGGTGTGAGGCTGGAATCTGAGCAATGGAAGTCACAAGGTAAAGAAGGTCCCTGGGAAGCTTTTTAGCAGTGGCCTTCCAGCCTTCCCAGGGAAGCATGCCATTTTATACTCCTTATCTTCTGAGCAGACAGGCTTGCTTTGAATTTCCACAGGTAAATAGAAAGCATTTCTCCTCTTGATTCGCAGGAAACATCTGTCTTTTTTTTTTTAAAAAAAAGTATCATTGTCTCTTTGTATTATCTTTATATAGGTGATTTTTTAGCCATGGGATTGTAATCCCCTTGAAGACTGGACCATGTCTTAATTATCTTGCTATAGTGCCTGGGGCAGTGTGCAGAAATGCCACAGCAAATATGCCTCCTTTCACCTGAACACCTTTTACGTGAAAATTTGGAGCGTAGAGTTGATCATTCATTTCAAAATAAATTATCTCATTTACTGTAGGATTAACCATAGGTGTCCTTTAAATGTCATTTACCATTTTATTCTCAAAATATGCTAGTTTCAGGACATATATATAGTTGAAGGTATGATGTGGGAATTTATAACATAAGACCTCCAGATCAGCAGTTTTGTTTCACATTGGAATAAAATACTGTCTTTCTAGCCTGCTTATATGTTGATAACAAAGGGTGAGAAAAAGGGTGCTGATTAATGCCTTTGAGAATAGAAAACCTAAGTCAAAAAAAAAAAGACAAAACCCCAGCTCATGGGTTTATAGTTTTTCCATAGTGTAAACAAACATACATATATATCATGAATATATATGTTTATATATAATATATAAAAACATATATTGTTTATATATTATATATTGTTCATATAAATTATATATATTACATATGTTTATATTATATAATGGATATAAACAAATAATATATTACAAATATATATTATTTATATATTATATATTACAAATATATATTTATATATTATATATTATTTATATCTTTATATATTATATATTGTTTATATATAATAGATATAAGCAAACTATATATTTGTTTATATATTTGTTTGTTTTCACTATGAAAAAACTATAAACCCATGAGTTTGGTTTTTAAAAATATATTGTTTACATATATAATATATAGTTTTTATATATTATTTATGTATATATTGTTTACATATTATAAACAATATATTTATATATGATATGTGTATATATATTATATATAAGCAAACTTTTTATATATATATAAAGTTACATATATATAAAGTTATACGTATAAAACAAAATTTATTTCATTGCCCATGAGTCAGCCACCCACAGGTCAACCAAGTATTTGGTTCTTATGACAGCTGATAGTATCAATTGTTTTAAATTATATCATCTATACTGGTATACTTTAGACATTTAATTCTAAGCATGATGTTTTCTAACATGTTACTTTTTCTAAGTGATCTTTTGATTCTCTGTTGCAATATCACTTCAACAAGCCAATGCCTCAGGAAAAACATAAAATCACAGTGGTACTATAAGTGGGGAAAAACTAAGGCAGTGATAAGTAAAACTTTCCTGTATAATCTCTTAAAAGTGCGTCTTGGGGGCCGGGCGCGGTGGCTCATGCCTGTAATTCCAGTACTTTGGAAGGCTGAGGGGGGCGGATCACGAGGTCAAGAGATGGAGACCATCTTGGCCAATATGGTGAAACCCAGTCTCTACTAAAAAAAAAAAAAAAGAAAAGTTAGCTGGTCGTGGTGGCACGTGCCTGTAGTCCCAGCTACTCGGGAGGCTGAGGCAGGAGAACCGCTTGAACCCGGGAGGTGGAGCTTGCAGTGAGCCGAGATCGCGCCACTGCACTCCAGCCTGGGTGACAGAGCAAGACTCCGTCTCAAAACAAAAACAAAAAAAGTCTGTCTTAAAATGATTTAAACAAAGAAAGACATTTCATAAAAAATAAAATAAAACTTGGCTAAGAAGGGGAAGATTAAAAGCTACACAGAGAGGTTGAGAGTTTAAAGAAATAATGTTCCAGACTGTAGTCAAATGGAAAAGACATGAGCAAGCTTAATGGGTTGTCCAAAGTATTGGGGATAGAGGTGAGGTCCCCAATACCACTGATTCAACAAAATTTATTTCATTGCCCATGAGTCAGCCACACACAGGTCAACCAAGTATTTGGTTCTTATAACAGCTGATAGTATCAAAGACTCTGAAGATGACTGTATAAAATATGAACATAGACATAAAAATATCATTGTTCATTCCATTGTCCATTTTGCCTAGGAAATGTCCCTTGCCATGGAGTGTGTTCCAGCAAGCATTGATGAATCTAGCATATTGATTTTTGCTTTGTTTACTGGGTTAACAAGGCAGTTTAGATGGAAAAAGTCTTATCATCATCCAGACTCCGTTTGCCACAAACAGGAAATGAATTTGCTTCCCCTGTCCAAGCCTAGTTCCTGGCAAAATGGAACAGCTCATTGCTAAGCCGCCTTTTTTTTTTTTTTTTTTTTAAATACGGTAGCTAGAAACTTGGCAGCTCGCTCTTTCAAAGTGACAGCTTTCAAACTGTCTACCTAACACAATTTAGCCTAATTCCAAACATATCGGAAAATGGACTGTTAAAGAAAAGAAAAAAATCTCCGGAGGAGCAACTGCCTCCCTGTCCTCCTACTTTTTGTCTAATATGAACAAAATGTAAATTATTGTCTCCCTAGGTTGTAAAATATTCTTCAGAGAATGATTATACCTGTCACAGATGGGATCTTGAAATAAGTTAAATGTTTAGGTTTATATACTAGGAATTCCCTAGTGAACTGAATTCTCCATGCAATTTTTGGTAATATTGTTATTGAACTATAAGCATAAATGCTATCCATGAGAAACTGATTTATTTAAAAAAAAACAGGAAAAATAACTCTTTCTCACATTTCTTTTGGGTACCCAGAATTTTAACATGTCCTTAATTAGAATGATTAAAAGCATTTTCTTAAGTGGCTTAATTTATAAAGTGTTGTTATTAATACATCCTGGAACCTATAATGTTGAAGGATTGCTCAGGTGCTCAGAGGAAGCTGGAACAAGAGAAATGAGCCCCATACCTCCAGGGGCTAAAACCCCTCTGGTCTATTCCTCTTCTAGCCTGGAGTATCTCTACAGCTTCCAAACATATCTCCTGTTCTCCATTTTCTCCTTACTCTTTTTTTTTTTTGAAACGGAGTCTTGGTCTTATCGCCCAGGCTGGAGTGCAATGGCACAATCTCGGCTCACTGCAACCTCCACCTCCCAGGTTCAAGCGATTCTCCTGCCTCAGCCTCCCGAGTAGCTGGGATTACAGGCGCCAACCACCACCCCAGGCTAATTTTTGTATTTTTAGTAGAGACAGGGTTTCACCATGTTGGCCAGGCTGGTCTCGAACTCCTGATCTGGTGATCTGCCCACCTCGGCCTCCCAAAGTGCTGGGGTTACAAGCATGAGCCACCGTGCCCAGCCCTCCCTACCACTTTGTAAAGCATAATTCTGATTATGTATTTCTGCTAATTAGAATCCTTCTCAAGTCCCGCATTATCTGCAGGAGGAAAGCAAGATCCCCAAGGCCTGGTATGGTGTGATGCCTGCCATCTTTTCCCAGGCTTATATCTTCTCTTTCATCTTTTAGTCCCTCCTCACTTGCAATATACTGTTCCCTCTACTGCAAACACTTTTCCATGCGCTTGCCTGTCAGGAACACTCATACTCATCCTCTAAGTCTCGGCTCCAATATCCTTGCATCAGGAAGCCCTCCTCATCCTCTTCCCCACTCCACCACACCGCTAGACATTGATTTCTGTTATTTCACTGCAATTTGCATAAATCACAGTCACAGTCTTTATTACACTGAATTGCAATGATCTTTTATTTATTTTGTCTTCTACACTGAGAGTTTCTTGAGGCCAGGGACTAACTTACTCAACTTCATGTCCCAAGGGACAGCCTGGAGCAGCTCCTGACACATATGTGAAAACCAGTGTATATTTTTCCAGGAACTGAATGAAAGGAGGAACTGCTGCTGGACAATAGCATTTCTCAGTCATACACTGAATGCCTCTTAGTCTCTCAGTAACCTTCAATCCAGAGAGGTTTACTCTGCACAAAGAGGAGGTTTATCATTAATTGGTTGATTTAATTCTGACAAGGAGTGGTGGGATGGAGGAGATTCTTAGAAAGGTATAAGACCCCATTAGCCTGAAAAACTACTAGAACCCAGTTTTTAAATAGGGCCAGGCTTGCTTTCCAGTTTTAATTCAATACAATAGAACTGTTAAATGATTCCAATTACTGCTACAAATGGTCGCCTATTGTTAACAATATAGAGCCAAAGCAGACCAACAACATAAGGTTTCTTCTGGAATATTACATTTCCAGCTACACATAACCTTTCAGACCAGGAAGGCAGTGGAGAGATTTTTCAGAAACACCAACTAAGCCTGCAGAACAGTCTATTAGAAATTGATACAAATCCAAATCTGAGGAGATCGTCTCAGTACCTTTCCTGGCTACAACTGAATTCAAAGGGTGACATTAAAGATGCCTAAAATCATGCAAAGATGTCAAACGCTACCACTGAATGGCTGGTCCCACCTCTGGGATTTCCGTGCCTACCTCAAATATTTCATTTTTTTTTTCTTGAATATCATGGTGTGTATGAGAGGAAACTTACATGAGTTTATACATTTTAAAATACAGATTTTACCAAAATAATTCTTAACCAAATGTTACCAAAGCCATGACTTAAGGGCGTTATATACACTCAGTATACCTTAGAACACTGTATATATCACACACAGTGATGGGCAGGACTCACTGCTACAGAACTATTAGAAATGAAAAAGCCGCCATTTCCCCCCTTTTCCTCTTCTTGCCTCTCTGCATTTCTCAGTCAGTATTACAAGAGCAGCTTGCTAACTGGAAGAGTGGCCACTGAAAAAAATGGAGACAAGAGTTTAACTTGGGGCTGGTGTTCCTGGAGCCAAAGTCATCATCCGCAGATTGGTAACCGCGGATACAAGGCCTCTTAGAGGCCACTAGTGGCCACTGGGTGAACTGCATGAAGATGGCATTTTAAAAATGAGTGTTCTTTCCAAGGTTTAGTCGCTTAGCAAATTTCGTCCCTTAGTGACTTGGAGAAAACTTGATATATAGTGCCAGAAAACCTGCTTTTAGAACAATTAAATATAAATCTGAAATGCAAAAGGTAACCAGGAGATAGACCTCCTTGTTCAGATGGTTTGTGTGCTGCTATGTGTGTGTGCATATATATATATATATATATATATATATATATATATATATATATATATATATATATATATATATAGTTTTTTTCCTGTCCTTCTCATCTGGGACTTGCTGTCATGATTCTGGGCTTCAGAAACCGTATCCCCAGAGCATGTAACACTTATCTTGTCTGTGAAAAATATTAAATGAATGCATATGTATGAAATCTGTAGCTTGTTATTAATAATAAATTATAATGCCACTAGAGCTATGAGTCATTCAATTCACAAGTGATTGACTGTTCGTTCATTCATTCTACAGTCACTGGACATTCATATTCCTATGCCAGTGCCTCTAATGGATATCCCAGAATGTCACTTGGGTTGTGGACACATATGTCTGCCAAGTAAATAATGACTGATTTTTTCAGAGTAATTCAGTTATGCTGCTCCCCACCTGTGCCTCCAGAAATCAACAAAAGCAGTAATCCCAGATTTTATTTTTCTTAATTGGCCTACCTGCACATGTTCTCTGACAGTTTTAATGTCTTACTAGCAGCATTTTGTTCAGATGTCAGATTTATGGGGGCTACAGGTCGTACATATTCCTCATAGGAACAAGTATTCCCTGGAGTGCTTTCCTGACCTTGCTGGGATATGATAAGTTGCACATTCCCAGTCAATGAACACTTATTGGTCACGTGCTGTGGGTCAGACTTGATCACAGACACTGCTCACTAGATGCTCACGACAATCTGTGAAGTAGGCATTGCTTCCATTTTGCTGATGGAGAAACTGAGGCTTGGGCACCAATATGACTTTCCCAGAGTGAGCAAGAAGTGGCAGATGTGGAACAGGAAGCCAGGTCTTCTGCCTCTGCTCTCTGCTTCCCTGCTTCCCTGCACTGCCTTTGTAGAGGTTCCCGTTTTTCCCAATCCTGGCAAGGGTGGCTGTGTCCTGACTCCTCGTGGCAAGGACGGTTGTGTCATTACTCCTCCTGTTCTTACTGCCCACTTCTTCCAGTGCCTACACCCCCTTTCCGGGGGCCCAGAGTCTTTTGGGCCACAGGGGAATTTTGCTAGAAGATGGAATACACAAAGGCAACCTGCTTAATAATTTGATATCTGTAGGCTTTTGCATTTTATTTGCATTCTTAAAGAAAAAGACTCGTAGACTGGGTAAGCAGTGAATATCAACTGCTTACCTTCAGCCTCTATTTCCTAACATATAACATGGGGATGAGGATTCATTGATTAGCAAGTCCTCTTAAACTCAGTTCTGTGGCTGTCAAGGTGGGGTTTTAGAGAGTGGCATCCAGCTGGGAGACAGATTTCAGAACTACAAGTTCGTCTTAGCCCCTCAAACTCTACCACCTGACTGAAGATGCCCTTCTGTTCTGTGAACTTCTTTTCCCAAACTTGGATGGTACTGGATACCTCCCTGATTTCACTATTTGATATCAAATCATCTAGTGTGACAGTAACACAATGACACCAGTCCACAACACCTGGGCAAGTGTCTGGCTTGCTGGATAAACTGCACTTCCCCTTTCCCTTTGCTATATGGAGAGCTGCATCAATCTGGGCTTTCAGGCATTGGTCTCCTTCTAATGAGGGGAATCGACCACACAGCTCCAGCATGACCATGCTCACCTATCCCAGCAAATAGGTGTTTATCCCCAGTGAAACCCAGCACAGAACACCCTTAGGAGTAAAATTAGATTTTGGTGCATGAATGTTATTGACAAAAAAGACTCCCTGCTCAATGCCACTCGGGGACATGAGTCTGAATGTCCCTGCCATGGCCCAGGGGAATGATGTCTGTATCACCAAACCAGTGCTGGCACCTGGACCTTGTCACCACTGACAGGGCTGAGAGGAGGTCAGCTGCCGGCTGCTGTACCCGGAACAGGTTTCTAGGGATCAGGCAGAGGCAAGAGGCTGGGGAAGCAGCTTGCCTTGCCAGCTCACCAGGCTGCTCTGGAGAGAAATAGAGGGCTTCTATCTCTATTACTGTCAGAGTCTGGCACTTCTCCCCGGCTCTGAAATTCACAGCAATGGATGGAGGAGGGAGGAGGGAGAAGGAAGGAGGTGCAAGCCAGACAATCAAAACAGCCACAATATTTTGGAAGTGGAATATTCCAGCTAGAGAAAATTCTCTAAAGCATTGAGCAGTAGGGCTGGAAGAGGCCCTAGCTAATCCAGCACTCTGGTTTTGTAGAGGAAATAGTTGAGAGGCAGAAAGACAAAGCAACTTCTCTGAGGTTACAAGGTCAGTAAGGGGCAGAACTGGGACAAGGCTCTGGGTCTTCGGTGCTTTCACCACTTAAAAGAAAGCTTTTGCTTTCTTCCTTTATAAAACCAGAGATTGGCAGGGGGCTTCCTTTTGTGGGAACCCCAGTGGAGACAGAGGATGTTTACCTGCAGGGAAGAGGGGCCAGGGCCCGGCTGTGCCTGGACCCAGAGTGGTGGGGAAGGGGGGTATGCTCATACCTTGCAGGTTGACGCCCCGGGGCACCACGCCCTGAAGCTCCACTGTGGGCAGGTCATCTTCCGCTGCATTAGAGTTATTGGGTGGAACTGCTCTTCTGCCTCCAAAGGCGGTCCTGGAAGTTTCTGACATTTTTGACTTTACAAGGTCCTTCAGAAAAAAAAAAAAAAGAAGACAACAGAAAAGGCATGTAAAGTGAGTAACATTTGAGACAAGGATTCCAAAATAGAGAAACAGATATATCTGTGTGTGATAGCACTTGAGCAACACATTTTGCCGTTTGCATAAATAAAAACTGAGAAGTGGCAGCAAGGATTAGTCTAATGATGGAATACAGTTCCCCAAGGATCTTGGGGAGATTTTTGTATGTGTCAAAACATATGGAAAGCAGAAGAAAAGGGGCTTATTCAAAGAAATTTAAAAATTAAAAGATTTTTGGAGACCCAGATTCCCCCACCCTCCATAATCCTACAGCAGCATCTTCGCAAGAAATGTTTCCTGTTATATGCATGTGCTGTATCTATGTTCATTTCATACAGATTTATGAGATTATAAGTCACTTTTAAGAATAAACGCACACAACCATGTCCAGACAAATGTTGTCTTCTAAAGCGTTTACATTTGCAATTTAATTCAACCAATATTTATTGAGGGCCTATGACATGCCAGGCTGTGATCTAGGTACATGGGATACATCAGAGAACAAAACAGAATGTTTGCTCTGATAGATTATAGTCTGATAGGGTTAGGGTGGAGCCCAAGAAGAGCCATAAGTAAATCCACTTAGGGGTGAGGAGGTAGGAACTGCTTTGGAAATTGAGCCACATGGAGGAGGATAAGGAGGTGGAGAGGTTGGGCATGCAATTTTCAATAGGGCTATCAATAGGCTTAAGAAGTCAGGGTTGCCAACATTTCCCATTCCCCAAGCCTGCTTCCCCTTCCCTTGGAGCTTGTGCAGGCACTGAGCCAGTTTAAACAACACACACCTGACGGTCAGTGCCCAGTAAGTACTTGTTGACCAAATGACCAAATGAAGGGGGACTTTGTTTCTGGGCCCAGTGAAGGTTCCCCCTTGATCCCCTGGATTACCCAGTCATGACTCCTGGAGACTTGGCTATTTTCAAAAACCAGGCACACCCCCAAGAGGTGAAGAGTCCCCATTATAGAGGCCACCAGAGTAGAGAGATGGTTCCAGAGACATGTGGAGCACTAACAACATGCTGGAGAAAAGACAACCACGCCTAAGGTGTCTGGTCTGAGAAGGAGACAGGAGTGTTTGGATGCATAAGGTGTGAATGGGTATCCATAAGTATAGATAAATATATTTACAGTCATTGGTGAGCTGACGGGGGAAGGGAGGGAGAAGAGCGAAAAAGGGTTAATGATAGGGAGAAGGCTGCGAGAGCCATCCTCTAGTGAGAAATACCGAAGGTAGGCTGCGGCATTGCCAGGGGTGCAGAACAGTGTGGCGCGCTGTCGGGAGACACAGTGCTAAGGGGGAGAAGGGGGGAGCCCCAGGTGCACGCCTGGCTGGGTGAGTGCGGCGGGCAGGAGCCCTCGCTTCTGGGCGGGTCTAAGGAGGAGAAGTGGCTCGAGTTCAGCTCCAAATTGGGACGGAGGCAGGCGATGCGCAGGAGTGGGGAGGCGCGCAGGAGTGGGGAGCCAAGCCGGCGGGGTTCCAGTCTAGCAGGCTGTTCTCACTTGGCCCCACTCCCTCCACCTTTTGTGTTCCAGCTCCATAATCTGCTCCCTGAGGAAAGGGGGCTCGTCCCTTGGGGAAGCACCTCCAACTCCCCCATCCCCATTTGGTGGCATTCTAAGCAAGCAACGGCTTCGGGAGAGCTGCCTCGAGAGCCTGAGAGAAGTCCCGCTTAGAAGCTGGGCTGGGCAGGTGCGGAGTTGGGGGCGGGAAGCCAGGATTGGGCAAGTGGAGCTGCCTGTGACCGGCGCCACAGGGCCCAGAGCAAGCCGCTTGCTGGTTCAACCAGGAAACCGAGGTGCAGAAGGTGGACGCAGCGGGCCCTGGCTCATAGGGTGCAGGGTCGGTGGCTTACCTGCAGGCGCTCCCCTCCAGAGGTGCCCTCGCGTGGGCTTGCTCTGTGCGCCTCGGGGACTTCCTCAAACGGACTCGGGAAAGACAAGACAGTTGGCTCTTAAATAACTTCCTAAGAGGAGCCCTCACCCTCCTCCCCTGTCCCACAGGGTTTTCTCCTCCCCCTTCTCCACAGCTGGAGCCAGTAGGGGAGCTCAGAGGATTTTCTATTTACTTCATCTGGCCTGTTATCCCGGCAGGTGCGCCCTTCTCTCCCACTTGCCCCTCTGACTCCCAATTTCCCATTCCCACTTCTCCTCCCCATCCCCATCCCTAGATCTGCCCTCCCCACCGCAACCAGTTGCTGGGAGTACCAGGCAAGGGGCCCTGCAGTGCCAGGAAGTCCCCACCCGTCCCCTTTGGTCAGAGGGTCTGGGAGGGTTTCCTTTACAAAGGAATGCTTTTGCCTGGCAGGTCAGCTGCTACTGTGGCTTGGCAGGAGGGGGGTCTGCCCTCCCACAGACAGGTCACACAGACAGTTGTGACCATGCATGCAGTGAGAGCAACGTGTCCCTCCTGTGCAAATAAGGCATGGTCTGCATTCCTGAATCATCCCAGAGCCACAGCCACCGCCTAACCACAAGACTTCCTGCAGGAATGGGATGCCTAGCCCCAAGGAAGATGAGTAAACATCTTTAATAATGCCATGCAGATTAGAAAATAACACTTGGTTTTCTCTGAAAATCATTTTAGTGCATGTTCAAAAATTAGAAAATTTTCCCCCTAAAATTTTAATTTTTTTCTTTTACTCTTTCTTTCTTTCTTTCTTTCATCTTTCTATCTTTCAGATGAAGTCTTGCTCTGTTGCAAAGGCTGGAGTGCAACCTCCACCTCCCGGGTTCAAGTGATTCTTCTGCCTCAGCCTCCCAAGTAGCTGGAACTACAGGTGCATGCCACCATGCCCGCCTAATTTTTGTATTTTTAGTAGAGATGGGGCTTTACCATGTTGGCCAGGCTGGTCTCGAACTTCTGACCTCAGGTGATCCACCCTCCTTGGCTTCCCAAAGTGTTGGGATTACAGGCGTGAGCCACCGCACCCAGTCAAACATGGCTATTTCTAACCTTCTTTACTGTCTTCAAATTTCTGACCCTGCCACTCAATCTCCCAATGTTATAAAGAAGAAAAAAAAAGATGCCATTGGTTAGAAATTCTCTCAATTTTCTGCTACCAATCTATGAACCTGCCTGCAACCTTATCTATCTTTTCCTCTTTCTTCTTGTTACTGAAGTTGGAAAGGTCCCTCCTCCCTCTGCATCTCCAAACCAGGCTTCTGCGTTGCCTTGTTCTCCGGGGCTTTGCTGTGACTCTTACGTACTCTTCCTCTTGCAGCTTCAAGCTCCTGCTTGCTAATAGTGGGTCTTCTCAGCATTCATGCAATTTCAGGTCTCTTCAGTATTTTTTTAAAAACCTCCCCCAACCTATGTCCCCACTCCTGCTGTTACTCCTCCTCTCCTCCCCTTCATCACTAAGTATCTGCCATCTGGCTTCCGCCTCATCATTCTACTGAAAGTGGAGGTCACGGTCTCCAAGGCCTGTGCTCAGGCCAAAAGACAGGATTCAGTTCTTATTTACCTGACCTTTTGGAAGCATTGAACTCTGTCTTTGAAGGTATTTTTCCTAGGCCTCCTTGACATTGAACACTCTGTGGTTTCCTCCAGTGCAGCGCAATATTCCTTGATTGTCTGAGGAACTCCCATAGTTTTCAAATTCCATCTATATCCTGACACCTCCCAAATCTGGGTCTTTAGCCAAGATCTTTTCCAGAATTGCAGATTCCCGTATCTAAGTGCCTACTGGCTATCCTCATTTGTCACATCCCAGTGACAACACACGCTCATCATGTCTAACATGAGATGTATCACTTTCCTGGAAAACCTGGTGCATCTCAGGAGTTCCCTACCTCAATGAATACCATCACTTTGCACGCAGGTGGTACACCAGACACATGGGCATCATTCTTGAGGCTTCCTTGTTTCTCTCCCTCAATCATCAAATCCGATCCTTGAGCAAATATTTTCTATCCTACCTCTTAAACAGCCCTTGAATCTACCCGTGTATGTACCCCTTTCCAGTCCATTCTCTACAGTGCAGTCAGAATGAGCATTTCAGGGCTAAAATCCGAAATCAAATTATTTGCACAAAGCCCTTATATGGCTACTTCTCTTTGCTTTTTGGATAAATTGCAAGCTGAAACTGACAAGGCCTATACAAGCTGGACCCTGCCTCTAGCACTGCTCTTTCCCTCAGCATCCATACAATTTGAGGTCTCCAGTATTTTTAAAAAACCTTCCCCCAACACCAATCTACCCTCCCTGCCTTCCACTGTTGTTTCTCCTCTCCTCCTCTTCATCACTAAGCTTCTGCCATTTGGCTTCCATCTTTCTTCCCTATCATCTTCCTCTGCCATCTTTCTTCCCTGCCCAGTCTCCCTCCACTGACTCCCCAGTTGTCTTGCAAGGAGTTTGCCTTGTTGTAGTGCTCCTCACACTGCATGATCATTTTCTGTTTCCTTGGCTGTACCTGCACTAGAGTACAAAAAGGTAGGGACTCCAGCCAGAGTTCCCTGGAGAGAGGCTGCTGACCACTTAACTATCCAAAGGCCGTCTTTGCCACATCCCTTGCTGAGTGCTAGAGAAAGACCCTAAAGATGTCTAGCACTGCTTCCCCTCAGCATTCATACAATTTCAGGTCTCCTCAGTATTTTTAAACCCTCCCCCAATCCTTAACGATCATATTCTGGTAGTTCTCCTGGCAAACATCAAATCTGAGTGTCTAGAATTCCAAGATACCCTCATCCATGTGGGGTTGGAGGATGAGCAGCCACCCTTGCACCCTTCAGATGAGGTTACGCAGATGCCAGGTACCCCTGGGACTTGGGGTTGAGTTGTGCATTCAGAACAGGATTGTCACCCTCACAACCACCTCCACGGTGTCACTTTTGGCCTTAGACTAATTATTGGCTTTGTGAACATACACACACAGTGGTTGGCTTTCTGACTCCCCCAAACCACTAACCTCAAGAGCATCATAAATGCAATGGCTTTCCTTGTGCTAAACAAAGTCGATAAAAATGTGTCTAAGCCACCAAGCCCTAGAATGCGGTTGAAGCCCATTCATTTTACAGGGTATTCCTCATGGTTATATGGCTGAGACATCAGAACAAAGGTTTCTGGTCACACAGTGAATCTTGAACTGTGCTAGGGATGCAACTTCCACAGGTGCATAGGCTCTGAGGTCCTTAAGGATGGGATGGTGTCTTTTATTTCTGAATGCCCCCTGCCTGGCATGGAAGTGGAGCCATGTAAATATTTAAGGCATGTAACAGACGGGGTTCATCCAGGAAAACAAAAACCACTTTAGGTCTTTCTAAAAGAAGGAATTTAAGGCAGGGGATTGGTTACACAGGTGAGAGAAGAGACAAGAAACCAAACACGAGAAGGTGAATCAACTCCACAATTAGCAACAGCAGAGAGGAGTTGGTGTCGTTGTAGCGGGAGGACTGAGGGTAGGTCAGGCACTGGAACCGTGTGGTCCTGTCTGGTGGGAGCTTTAGATCCCATAATTCCAAGAAACACTGTCTGAGGTCAAGAGGGAGGGAAGAATGATCCTAGCTTGTCCCTTTCTTCCCGCTCCCTCTCCCTCCCTTGTCTGCCGTTTTGCTGAACTCCACTAGAATCAGTTGACAAAGGACTCTGGAAAATACCGCCTGCAAAGTTAGCCCCACCACTCCTGTGCTGGGGCCCCAAGGCTACCCCCAGGTTCTGTGATTCACTAGGAGGACTCACCAGACTCGGCCACCCACGTAGCTATGATCAGATACAAATGTACATATATCATATATACTACACGATAAATCATGACGAAAAGATACAAATCCAAATCAGCAGAGAAAAGGCACTTGGGCAAAGTCTGGAGGACCAGGCAGAAGTTCCCAAAGGTCCTGTCCTAATCAAGGCACATGGGCTGTGCCTACCAACCCTGGCAATGAGTTGTGACAACACTGATATAATGTCATCTGCCAGGGATGCTCACCAGAGGCTCAGTGCTCAGGGTGTTTATGGGGGGCTGGTCACATAGGTACCCTCTACCTAGCTCATAGCCATTTTCCAGACTCCCTGAAGGAAGCAGGTGTTAAGCATGAGCCACAATTTTTGTACAGTTTAGGCCCAGCCAGCCCCACTTGTCAGTTAGGGAACAGTGGGAAGACTCCTGAAGTCCAAGTTCCCAGATGCCAGACAAGGGCCAAGCTTGCAAGTAGGGCTTTCTAAGCCAGTTTCAGGTTTGCTATGTTAACTCTTTACTGCATCCATACAGGGAAAGGGTGAGGAAAGGCTCTCTGGGCAAACAGTTCCAGGACTGCCACAACACACTGTGCTCTTTCATCATGGCATGGCCAGTCCCTCACATGAGATGTCAATAGGCCTGGAGCACGAGGAGACTCCAATGAGAACGTCACAAGGGTAATCCAGTTCTGCCCCTACTTTCTTGGCCTTACCAGCTCAGCATGAGACCTCCAAGGAGACGTGAACTCCCTCTGGCTGCACGGGCCTGGGCATACCTTCTCACTCTTCTGAAGCTGAAGGGCTCACCCCATTGCCTCCCCAAGAAGCAGGGTAAAAATTCCTAAACACATCACTCTGGGATCCTGGCGTCTCTCAGAAATATGTAGTAAACTTTGGGAGTTGTGAGTAAACAGAAAATACGTGGGAGGAGGGATTCCGGATCCCCTTACCTTGATCCTTTAATTCTGAGTTTTCATTTCTATGGTATTGACACTTTTCTCTGCAGTCTCTCCAGACAAACCATCTTTCTCCTACTTGGCAATACCCAAGGAGCAGACCATATTTGTTCAGGCAATGAATTTTCTGGCAAACTCTATTTGATTTACATGCAAAACTTCACATCTCAAACAAACAAACAAAAAACCCAGTCATGTCTGGACGCTGCTGGTTTTTTCCAGCTGAACAAGACCTGGATTTTGTTGGTTATAGATGTAATTCCAGAGGGAGGTGAGTAGATACATAAATAACAACTGGCCTTGTTCAAAGATGCCAGACCCTCTGACATGAATGACCCAAGTTCGTCTCTTGGGAGAGTCTTTCTCCTGCACTGCCCTTCATCCTGTAGGAGCTGGAGAAAACTTTCCACTCCAGATGGAAGTGTCCTGGGGGAGAGGATGGAAGGGAGGCTGGGTGGGCAGTTTGTAGTCAGGTTCTAGCCACAGTAGTGAGCAGTGGGGGAAGGCAAGCGGCCCTCTGTATCCATTCACATATTTTTCAAAGCCTCACGAGCGTTTTCACAAAGTCTGGCAATGACATTTTAAAAGGAATTTATAAAGCATCATCGCAGTTGCCACCACAATAGGGCGTGGGATCTAAGACAGGACCATGTCTCCCACAGCCTCTTTTCCTTCTTCTTTCAGGAAAGATGAAAACCCATGCCAGGGACAGGTCCAGATGGCAGGAGTTTTCTCTTTGCTTTGGCTTCCCTGGGCATAGCCCACTCTTGCCAGGGATCTACGATCACCTGTAATCTACCTTCCCGAGGAGCAGTGATGGATTGCTGGGGGCTGCCTCACCTCATGGCAGGCAAATGGAAGAAAGCTGTTCTCGCCTTAGGAAAGAAAGATTTAACTAATGTACCCACCTTCTTACAGTAAATATCTCTGTCTTAAAAAAAATTTTAATTGTGGTAAAATACACATAAAATTTATAATCTTAACCATTTTTCAGTATACAATTCAGTAGTGTTAAGGCTATTCATGGTATTGTATGACCCATCTCCAGAATGTTTCTGTCTTGCAAAACTGAAACTCTGTTTCCATTAAACAACTCCCTGTGAATATGTGTGTCTGTGTGTGTCTGGCTATATATTTGTGAGTGTATATGTCTGTCTGCATGTGACTGTGCACACATCTGTGTGAGCGACTGAGTGTGTCTGAGTATCTGTGTGTATGGGTATTTCTGAGCATGTATGCCTCTGTGTGTATGCATTGTCTACGTGAGTGTATGTGTCTGTGAGTGTGTGCACATCTGTGTGAGCAAGTGTGCCGTGCATATGAGCGAGTATGCAGGTGGAAGGGAAGGACTGAGGAAGCACTGAGGGTTTAGCTCCAGAAAACTTTCTCCACTGGCTTCCTAACTCCTCCAGAGTCCTGATGGAGTTTAAGGAGACTCCAAGAGATTTTTAAACTTGAAAAGACTTTATAAAACATGACGAAGGGTCAACTAGAAGTAGGTCTGTTACAGATAACGATTTTTCAAGTTTAAAGGAAAGAAATTTCATAAAAAATGAAAAATTCATAAAAAAAGAAAATTTCATAAAAAATGCTAGAAACACCCACAGTGGGAAGAGACATCAGTCATGCCAGCCTCACTGCATATGACACAGATGCATGCATGGTTTAATTCAATACTTTTCCTTAAGTGAAGCAAGAGACCCCACATCCACCCATCCCAAGTATCTCACTTTGCCAGAGGAAAAATTCAATGATAACAAAACATTATGAAAAAATTAGTAATTAAAATAATACAGCAATGTGTATGAACAAAATAATCAATGAAAGTGAAACCTAATAGTAATTCCACAAACTTATTACAAAGCTATTAATTTAAAGAGTAGTGGCAATTGAAAACCACAACCAACACCAGATAATGGGGATGCTATAAAAACAATGCTTGCTTCAGTAAAACTATCAGAATGCTGACTAAATGTGTATGCACATATGTGTGCATGTGTGTGTGTGTGTGTGTGTGTGTACAAGTACAGTAGGAGCTTTGGAGTGTTCCCAAGAGTAATATGGCAGCTGGAGTTAGAATCTACTATCTATGTAACCTTGGGCACATTACTTAACCTCACCTGTAAAATGGTGATCCTAATAATGTATACCTCACAAGATTATGAAGATCAAAGAAGAGAATACCTATAAAAAGGTTTGTATAGTCCCTGGCAAGAAGCTAGCTCTAAATAAATATTACCAGTAATGGTATGTGTGCACTGGACAACCTTCACTCATCCATGATGAATATTTTAACTTTTTGTAATAGTTATTACCTGTATTTTCTCATTATCATCCTCATATCAGGGAAGTGAATATTTAAGTTGCTAATAATTTTGGATAATTTGAAGAGGCCATTATCAGCATTTATTGCAGTATTTTCTGTCTAGAACCTCTTCAAGAGCTTCATGTGCAATTCATGCTTGTCAAGGGGTGAGATTTATAATTGGCTGGTTGTGGTTGTATATGTGAGGATATGTATATGTGAGGATATGTATATGTAAGGGTCTATTTCTCTTGCTCTGTCACCCAGGCAGGAGTGCAGTGGCGCGATCTCAGCTCACTGCAAGCTCTGCCTCCCGGGTTCACGCCATTCTCCTGCCTCAGCCTCCTGAGTAGCTGGGATTACAGGTGCCCGCCACCACGCCCGGCTAATTTTTGTATTTTTAGTAGAGACGGGGTTTCACCGTGTTAGCCAGGATGGTCTCAATCTCCTCGTGATCCGCTCGCCTCAGCCTCCGAAAGTGCTGGGATTATAGGCGTGAGCCACCGCGCCCAGCCAATGCCTTCCATTTTTAAGCTATATAAGAAAGATGTCTGGGGAGTGGGTCAGAGACTGATTTTATTTGATATATACCAAGTGAAGGCACCAGCTTCCACATGGTTGCCAGTGAAGGGACCAGCTTCCACATGTTGCCAGTTCTTTCTGGAAGCCCACATCCAGGTAGGCTTCCTGGGCAGACCCACGGGCATCTCACCAAACTCTTCTAATGAGGTCTGTGGCTATGGGTCAGCAGGGTGCCCCTGTCTTGGGCACTCTTGCCCAAGAGTGCCGCTGCCCTCTGTTGTAGTCGCACAACTGCACCTTCTTGCTGATGAGGTGAAGCACTAACACAAGGCCAGAAATGGAAGGGACATGATGTCAGCTGGAGTCTTCCTAACAGCAGAACTTCTGGATAATGATCTATGAATTTCTAAGGAAAGCCAAAGGCCATTGCATAATCGCATGTGTGGGTGCTAAAACAGCCAAATAAAGGGGCAAGTTCTCCTTTCTTTGATGCTCCCTCAGCAATTTCTGCAGTGAAGTTTCAGATAACTGTGCCAGAGCCCTTCCTGTGAAAGTGTTTCTTGTTAATGCATTTCTCCTCTCACAATGGTAACTATAAGTGGTTAAAATAGCATCAGAAACACTAACTCTATCATATGGACATATATCATGATTCACTAAAAATATTTCCCACAATGCAGTTTTAACTTAAACAAAAGTTGTTTATATATACGTGTGTGTGTGCATGTGTGTATTAATAAATATAGACAGTGTAACTTACCCAGAAGAGTTCCTTATGCCTATGTTCTGAAAAAGACAGCACAGATGCCCAAAAATATAAGAAATTTTATAAGGGGCTTTTAGTGGTCCAAGATTCTCCTGCTGGCTTCTATGAGTGATAATGATCTAGAATTCTTCGAAAAGCCAAAAAGAAGTCTTCCAACAGCCATGACTTAATAAAGTCCATTGTCCCTGATTATTCAAACTCCTTCTGATTGTTCCATCTGATTTCATGATCACAAAGCCTATGAAAACTTTCTGTTCTGGGAAACAGAATCAATAATGTTTTATAAGCTTAACTGTGTGATATGATGTGATATTGTGTTTTATGGAATTGGACATGGCCTATGTCTCTACTATATTTTCACCTTGTATGCAACCTCCTGGGATACCATTACATATATATATATATATGTGTATACACACACACACATATATATATACACAAATACATATATATACACATATATGTGTGTGTGTGTATATCTGCTATATACATATATATGCTATATATATATACACACACACATATTATAGCTAGGTATGGCTTTATGTAGTACTTTCTTAAACATTCACCCTCAAACCTGAAGGGTTCTTTAATGATTGTGTTCATTTATTCATTTGGGATTAGCTAGTTTCCAAGGATGGATCAACCATCCATGCCTCCCGGTATTCCCAGCCATGTGTAGTCCCCTTCCACAGTGAATCTGGCTTCAACCAACAGGGTGCAGTGGAAGTGGCCCTATGCCAGTTCTCCACCTAAGCTATATGATGTCCTAACAGCTGCCTTTTCATGCTTTTAGAACCCTTAACCAACATTAAGAAGTCTAGCTACACTCCTGGAGTCCAGCTAACATGGAGAAACCATACAGAGAGGCCACATGGAGCGGTGGGGACATGAGAATGTGCAGGGAGGGAGAGGAGTCCAGCTGCCTCATAATCCTACCGGAGCCCAGGCATCAGCCATCTCTGCCAACCTGCAGCACGAGTGAGGACGCGAGTGTGCCACCTGGCAAGTGGATCCTCTGGCCCCAGTCAAGGAGCTGCAGCTGATGGTGCATGGAGCAGAGAGAAACTGCCCTGCTGAGCCCTGCCAAAATCATAAAATTGTGAGCAATGAAACAAAGTGGCTGTTATTTTAATCCACTAATATTTGGGATAGTGTGTTACATCGCAATAGATAACTGAGACACATTCATCAAATAAATATTTATCTAACCTGCTGTTTATAATAATAATACAACACTAATATTGAGTATGCTGTAATATATAGCAATATAATTAATATGGTAATATTTATCTATCTATTATTGACAGACTTTGTGATGAGTAGGAAATTGTATCTATCTTTAAGGCCTGCAGTCAAGAAGGGGAAACTATATTAAAAGCTAGTGTTTTGGAATTTCGTCAACAAGTCTGTTTCCACGATTTAATAGACTTCAAAATATTCTGTGTTTTCCTCCTATAACAAATATGTTCCTTGTGGACCTAATCTGGCATATAATATATGTACAAAAATACAAGTTAATTAATGAATTAAAGTCAGTGGAATCTCTTATGTCAGTGAAAGCAATAGGGTTGCTGACAAAAAAAGAAAGTAAAAGTTTTTAGTGAATTGTATATGCACCACTGGTTTTTATTTCACCTTTATCTTAAACAGTCAGCCACTCACTTAAACTTTGGCTTCTGAGGCTGAGAGCCACATAAAAGGGAGCACTAAATAACTGCAAGTGTAAAGAATGATTTGTGCTCCCTAAAATGCTTTATTCATACAAGGGAACTGAGGCTTGGAGAGGCAAAGGGGCTTGCTCATAATCACACACCTGGCACATTACGGATTTCAGACTCAAACAGACATTTTTAAAACCAAGTCCATTGTCTTGGCTAAAGTACACCTTCTCCAAACTCCTATCTTTCTCTTACTCAAAATTTCCCTTCAAATCTACACATTCCAAGATCTCTCTTAGAGCTGGGCCCATGGTGCTCCTGGAAGATATGATTGGATTTCTCCTCACCCTCTGAGCAGTGTAGGCACAGGTCTTCTGGTGCAGGGGATGGGGACATTAGAATGTGGCAGCTAGCTGGTACCTATTGGAGACCACCCCTGTAGGTGGGGTGACTCTACCACTCTGGTCTGTCAACAGAATAGTTTTTATGGGACCCTCATACGGGTCAGGGACTCTGTTATGTGCTGCAAGGGATTTGCAGGGAGCAAGAGAGAGGTCCTTTCCCGCAAAAGACTTACGGTCAGCCCCTAAGCTTCTCGGTGAAGGGAAGAGCAACATTGAACATCCGTCTTGGACACCTTGCCCCTTGGTTCTTCTATCTCACGAGTGCCTCGCAGTGGCTCTGCCTGTGGACCCTTACTCATGTTCTCTGGACCAGGGTTGTTAACCATAGCAGGTTAGAACTGCCCATTTATTCTAAATACAACAGCCAACTACCATCTTTATTTCAACCCTCACTTCCCACCACTTCTTCTCTAGTCTCAAAATGCCTTTCAGCATAGGCAGGAAATATGACAGAAGAAAGTCCCAGTCGAACAAACAATAACCGAAAATGCTCTTTGTTGCTGGGCCTTGGCGATCAAAGCCCTGCACATGTTTGCCAGCTGTAGTTCAGATGGTTTCTATTTCACTCAGCATTAATTTTTTATGAAATCTGTGGCCCAGGGGCCCATAAGCGGCTTTTAGTTCTTCATTCTATACTGTCTGGTCTAATTGCCAAGGCATGGTAAGACTCAGATTTTAAGGTGTCGTTAATGTATTTACCAGCCTTCCGGTCTACAGGCAGGCTCACCTCTTTGTGTGGGATTTTAATCATGTTTTGTTTTTAGAAAGGAAATGAAGGTATTCTTGGACTAAATATACTTGCTTTTCTTTGGATTTATTATCAGTATTTCACATCAGCGAGACAGCATACACAACACTGCCAATCCCAAACCTCAGACTTTATCTTCCAGTTTAAGTTTGATTCTTAAGAAGCATATGGAGTCTGTGCAGTGGAGGTAAGGCCTGTTTAAAATGAAGGCTGTTGTTTGTATGAAACATGCTTATTTAGTAGTTTATGATAAGGGGCCTGCTGACCCCAAAGGCTATCTTTCTTCTCACTTAGCAGCAGCAGCCTGGACTTTGTTTCAGATCGTCTCTGGATGCTGTAGCAAAGCCAGCAAGTGACTCACTGTCTGTCCTCAAACTCTTTGCAGCCCCCATTACTGAAGAGCCCCACAGACAACTTAGAAAACACAGTGATGGGAAAGTGACAGTGTTTGCAGAGTTGCTGGTTGCCAGGGGTCTACATGCAAGGCCAGTGCCGCGATCATTTTCATGAATTTCAGATGTCCTTTCTCTTGCCAACTTCGTGTGTTTTCTGAAAAATAATAAGAAAAAAAAAAAAACCCAGTCATCTGGCCTTACTTCCTTAAACCGAAGCTATTAGAGGTATCCAGGATCTGACTAGGGCAGCTAATTTTCTTTCAGTAGTGATTATAGCTGCACACCCTGCACAAACCGCATGCAAGACTCCCCCTCAACATAATTTTACATGCTTCACTTCTCCAATTGGCTCCAACTGTTAACAGAGCCCAGGTTTTGCATACACAGCCACACTTGGGGAGAAAGAAAAATACTTTGTTGCAGGCAGTTTTGCCTTGATACTTGGCACTACTCCATTTCCTGACTGCGTTACACTCCCTTCCCTCCCAGGTACCTGAGACTTCTTCATGCATCTGAGTGTCTGGCTTTTGATGCAGCTCCTGGTTAGGAACCAGCCCTCTCCATGGTCATTAGCTTCCTTTTTTTTTTAAAAAAAAAAAAAAAAAACTACCATCTAGTAGGCAGCTTCTTCGGCACTATTGTTAATCTGAGAATTTGCTAGTACTTAACTCACTCTTCACACGCCATAAAAATCTCTATTCTTTGAAGTGTCTAAGTGTGTGATGGCTGAATGTGTTGGGAGGAGCTGTGTTTCAATATGTTTTTTACTTTTGTTCTCAGGCCAGAGAAATTTCATTCAGTTTCATGTGTTCAGTCCTTGAAACAAAAGGCAGTGCTTCTATTTGAAGCTTTGGTTCATTTAAAGGAAGTAATCAATTCTGTTCTGTGAGTATTCACTGAATACTTCCTAGGACCTATGAACTGATTCATGCCAGAGGCTGCAGGGCCTCTCAAAAAAAAAACCAATGTGTACCACAATCCTCTAGAGGCTTTCTGATTAGACAGATTGGGAGCAGGGTCCAGTTCATAAGCATTTCTGAAACATCCCAAGGGAATGCTGACGTTGCCTCGGTGGACCCCCTTTGAGTAACACTGCTGAGAGAGACACCTTAGTAAATGCTCAGGGTTTTGTGGGAAGACATTGAAACACATCTGAATTAGACAGTAAGACAACCAGTAACACAAATAATTCAAGCCCCAAAATGCACTCTAGAGATATAGAATGCCAGTGGCCTTCAGGAGGTGATAGGAATCACCAACCACTGTGGACCAAAAGTGTCAGATTAGTCGCCGCTATCTGGGGTAGGGTTTTGGAGGCAGTCGGGTTTGGAAGAAAGTGTATGATGTGGATAGGTGGGAAGGGAGAAGAAGGCTTCCTGGACAGGAGGATAAGGTAACAAATAATGATATGTTTGGACTGAGAGCTGATGCATAGTTTCTGCAGAAATAAATGAAGACCAACCAAATGAGAACCAGAAAACTATTTATTCAGAGCTTGCAAGACAGTTAGTCACCATCACTTGCATTTTGGCAGAAATCCAAAGGCAGGCAGAGGAGTGGGAAAGTTTTAGAGTGGCAGAAAGGGAAGGTTCCAGTGTGCGCTGATTAGAGGCTGTTGGCATGAGGAAGCTGGAGGTGGCTCACTAGAAATGGGAATCCCATTTGATTGGTTAGGGGGTATATTTTGCTTTTTCCAGTTGGTCCTAAATTGGAAGGATGGACAAAAATTAAGGAAGCTGTAATTTATTGATCAAGTCCTGGCCATTTTTGACAATTGTTATAGAAGTTATTGCTTGACTTCCTGAGTTGTTATGAGAGATAAGAACTTACTTTCTACAAGTCTGACTTATAAGTAGCATACTGGCTTCCTTGGCTGGCTACATAGAGGTGGGATAGTCTCCAGGGCAGGTTGCTGCAGGCTGTGGGTTGTAGTTCTGTTTTTATATATGGTCTGGCCATTGATGTTTGTACATTCACTCTCTTGTTTCTGGATTTTTGGGGTTTGCCCTGATGTCATCTCTCTTTTCATATTTTTTCTTCTTCATTTTTTGAGATTATGGGCTTCTAGCCTCATTCCACTTCGCCAATGACTTTTGAGAGTTCTCTCCTTATTTTCTGAGCACTCAGGAGCCCTTCTATGTTCTATTTATTCTCTCATCCCTCAGATTGATGATGAGGAACTTCTCCTGGAGGAGCAGATGTTGGTTCAGTTGCTCCTGAGTGAAGCCCAATCCTCAGGTTCCATCGCTATTCACAGGGTGACAGCTATCGCTTGTATGGAGATACCAAAGCTGCATGGGAGACATCAAGGACCAGGGGTCACAGTTCTCTCCTTGACCTCATATGGAAGGACAATTGAGTGCTCTCTGCAAGAGCTTCCAAGTCCCCAGGTAGAGGGAACCCTGCAGGCTCCCCTTGGATAAATGCAGATGCAGGCACTGGGCCCTCTGCGAGTGTCTCGAAATGGAAACTCTGCAGATGGGGTCTTTGCTGCCAAAGCTAACATCCTAAAGGCTCGTGGCCCCAAACAGCTGAGCGGGGTCACCTCTTTTTCCAGCAAGCGCTTAAAAAGGCTCCATATCAGTGCTCCCCAGACACCACACTGAAGCTTTGCAGGACAACTCTCTGTTCTCACCATCTGTCGGCAGCTGCTTTGGCCACAGCAGTCAGCTGCCAACTTCTATCTTCCATCAGAGATGGCCTTCCTTCAGGCTTCTTGACCAGCTCTTTGATGGCACATAACCTTTTAGCCACCTCTCTAATTCTGCAGGTGGCTCACCATGGTTTATTTATGCCATTTCTTTGGCTCTCTGAAACTCCTCTTGGGGTGGCTCCCAGGAGGTCTAGGGAGCCGTGAGCACCTAATTAATTTTCCATGAGAAGCTCATGTGTTGGGCCATCCTTTCTCATTTTTTTTTTCAGAATTGCTTATTTGCTGCACTTATAGTCATTTCTCATGGAAAAATTTGACATATAAATCCATCATATATTAGATTATTCCAGTAAACTAAAATGGCCATAGGCACTCAGTGTAAAATATTTTAGCATTTAAAACATCCATAGCAAAGGTTTTTCATTTATAATAATCATAGATATTATTAAAGTAAATAATACATCTGGGAGCTAGGGCTTTTTCACCTTTGAATTCAGACATGTTGGGTGTGTTCGGGTATGTGCATTTATTTTTTCTGGGCAGAAAACAAATATCTTTGTGATGGTTACATAAACGATGAAAAATTAAGTTATTGAAATAATGATTCTGTTATGTATATTGAAATTAGAGATTAGCTGCTCCTCGATATCCATTTTCTTTTTCTTCTATAATAATTGAACCTCCAGTATTTAGCTATGCACTTGTCTGCAAGAAGAATCCTACTTTCCAACTTTTCTTGTGTGTGGTTATGGCCAGATGACTAAACTGTAGAGAAAGGGGTATAAATGGAGATATGTGTGTGTGAAATTTCTGGCATGAGTCCTTAGAAGGTGGGGATGTGCCCTTTCTTGACTTATTTTCCTTTCTTCTGGCTGGAATGTGAACGTGATGGCTGGAGCTAAAGCAGCCATGTGGATCACATCGGGAAAGCCTTAAGGATGGTGTATGAAGCAGCCAATCAGAAGGAGCCTGAGCTCATTCCAGCCCTGGATCACCTCCTCAGCCTCTTAAGTGAGAGTTAAATAAACATTTGATCACTTTTTAAGGAGCACTGTTATTCTTGTTTTTTAATCGCTTGTAACCAAGCCTGATCATAACTAATAAAACACCAAAATAATCAAATATAAAGGAATACATTTTGCATTGTCCTTTAAAAAGATGGAAGGAACATTCATGCCACAAAGGACTGCCTAAATCCACCCAGAAGCATATTCACCAGAGTCTCAAATAGTAGCTCATCATGGTCACAGTCTTCAGTGTGTTAGAGCTGCTCATACCTTCAGGATACTGCAGAGGTCTTACTTCTAGTCACTCATGTTTGCCTTTGGATCATCACCAAGAATAAAACAATGTCAAATATGTTAAGCAGATAGGACATCATAGCACCCACAAAATCTCAGTTTAGAAATGATAGAAGGATGCATTTTCTTAAAAAAAAATAAAATCACAATAGGGGTAACCTAAAATAATTGGATGGTCAAAGCCAGTCTTCACTGTCACAATGTCAAATACATTTAGGGACAAACAGGTAACGTTAATGTAGTGTGATTTAGGACACCTGAGTGTCAGGAACACGTACTCAAACCTGAGAGTCCCTGTTCTGTCTGAACACACTCAGATTTTTCTAAAATACATGTCTGGCTAAATAAAACTTGTCTGTGAGCTGGTCCTATTCCCAGGCCACCAGTTCGTGCTCCCAATAAGTTTTTTTCAATATTTTCATTGGATTACAGTAGACTTCATTGTTGGGGTAAGACATGATCTCAGGCTTCCATTATAATTAAGGGGAAGACAAGATGGGTCAGTATAGGTGACTTTTAGAACCTGAAATGCCTCACTGGGCTCAAGGATTATAATCTGGGATGGTTATCGTCGAGCTTGGCGTGAAGTGTGGTGGCCACGAGAATGATCCATATTAGAAACCTAAATACTAGACAGACAAAGAAAGGAAGTGCACATCCAGGGTTGAGACCAAGAGAACTAGGGGTTCAAATACAGAGAGTAAGCCATCAGTCTCTGAGCAAGAGACAAGAAATAACCTGAACAGGAAGTAAAATTTAAAAGAAAATTTAAATTAAACAAATACAATTCATGTCTTGTATGTTGTATATAAAAATTAGATTTAAGTTAAGAAAGGATAATATGCAGACAACATAGACCTTATGCAGATAGGCTAACAGCCATTCTTCCCATCGACCCACACAAAAATAAAAGGCTCAAAAATAATTACGTAAAATCAGGATTTATAACAATGCCTCGAGTTAACAACCCGCCTACTTGGTTAAAGTTCCCTTTAATTTAAACAGGTGACATGATTCTGAAAGTTATTAAGACTACGTCTGTTTCCTTCAAGCTCTAATTTGATTATTGACAAGTATAAAAGATTATTTCATAGATTGTTCTTAATATAGGCTATGCTGGTTGTTCTTAACATAGGCTATGCTGGTCCAACTCCCCTTATGACAAAGCTGACAAAAATTCAGAAAATGAAACACATTTTCCTATAACATTACTTTTTTCCAATGTGTACCACTGTAACTGAATTAACATTACTTGGCTAGAAAAACATAGATAATTTTGTTTGGGTGGGAAAAAAACTAGAATATTAGAAGAAACTATGAGAAACTATATACTAAAAAAGGGGGCAGGAAATGAGCCACAAATCTTAAGGTTTATTATTGCATCCTTCACTTGTGAGCTATCTGCACTCTAGTGAAGAGAGGTAGCATATAAAAAATTTTGCCAAAGAAGTTCAATATATGGGAATCAACATATAGACACCTAAAAGGAGGTAAAACATAGCTCAATAGTATCAGCCCAATTTCTCACATCTTTACTGTGGGACAGATGGAGAAACAAATTGACATCCAAAAGGTCACTGATTTTGATATTCCTAGGACAGAAATGCTCCCAACTGGGAGTAAATCCACAAGTCACTGAAGTGTGGAGGACTAATCCACTTTATCACCTTCATCAAATATTTAGAAATGGTAACATTACTCATTGGAAAACCACTAAGGGGATAAGAAAGAAATGTTGGCCGGGCACAGTGCCTTACGCCTGTAATCCCAGCACTTTGGGAGGCCGAGGTGGGCAGATCACCTGAGGTCAGGAGGTCGAGACCAGCCTGGGCAACATGGCAAAACCCTGTCTCTACTAAAAGTACAAAAATTAGCCAGGAGTGGTGGCACATGCCTGTAAATCCCAGTGACTCAGGAGGCTGAGGCAGGAGAATCGCTTGAACCTGAGAGGCAGAGGTTGCAGTAAGCGGAGATCGAGCCAGTGCACTCCAGCCTGGGCGACAGAGCAAGACCCCGTCTCAAAAAAAAAAAGGAATGTTTAGGTTCTCTGGTTTAATATATGCACAAGCTGGACACTTTATTAAAACATTAGAATTGTTTTCCCATGAAGACAAAAACCTACTTGTGGGAATTTGAGAAACACAGTTGATGGGACTATGTCTCCAAAAGATTTGCATATGTCTTTGTATAGAAACACTAAAATCTCTCACACACAGATTACAATGGAAGAGATCTGCAGTCACAGGCCAGATGAAAATGCTTGGTCTGCCAGCCCAGTGACTGATGTTTTACATTAAGGATTGGACTTTAAAGATTTACCTTAAAGACTGAGTTGCTGGCCTGAAACAGAATACCAGCGAGGTTTCCCACTGGAATCTCTTCATCCCAGAAAATTGTTTCAGGGACATGGACCCAAAAAATCCCACTAAACTGTATGCAGCTATTTTTGGAATAATTAAGTATAAGCCCTTCTAAATGTAGAGTTGATTAGTAAAATAAGTGTTATCCCAGGATTCACTGCAAATATTGTTCAGTTAAATAACCCATTAAGCACAAGCTTCAAAACAGCAATTTCTTTCTAATAATTGTAAAGTTTTGCACAACTAAACAATAAAAGCCAAATAATCCACTCACAATAAAACCTGGTTGGATAAGATACAGAAGGTTATGCTATGAAACAACAGCCATCACAAATTAATACAGTTTTGCTCCCCAAGTACTATAGTTCTTTTTCGGAACATTGGTTGCCCTTTTAAAATTTTATTGATAAGGAAAAAAAAACAGCTACACAAGACCAGGATGTTGAAAGGTAATCTATATCCTCAAAATAAACTAAAGGTTATTGTAAATAAGTTAAATAAGTTATATCACATAAACTGCATTTACCTTTCCCCTCTACAAGTTATGGTACCCACCAGAGGCTGGAATCCCAAAGCAATGAAAAGACAATTAGAATTATATGCCTTGGTTTTGTTTTTATTAGTCAGAATGAAAAAAAAAATAACCTGGTGTTGAAAGCACAATGAATTTGAAATAACACCTAAGTCAGAGTCATAGCTGTGCCACCTTCGGCTGTGCAACTTGGGAAACTCAATTTATTTGTTGTCTTGAGTTCCTTTCCTATAAACTGCAAAATTTGAATAGATTATCTCTTTTTTTTTTTTTTTTTGGTTGGAGTTTTGATCTTGTTGCCCAGGCTGGAGTGCAATGGAGCAGTCTCAACTCACTGCAACCTCTGCCTCCCAGGTTCAAGCTATTTCCCCTGCCTCAGCATCCTTAGTAGCTGAGATTACAGGTGCCCACCACCATGCCCACCTTTTTTTTTTTGTGTGTATTTTTAGTAAAGACAGGGTATCACTATGTTGGCCAGGCTGGTCTTGAAGTCCTGACCTCAGGCGATCCACCAGCCACAGCCTCCCGAAGAGCTGGGATTACAGGCATGAGCCACCGCGCCTGGCTAGAATAGATTATTTCTAAAAGCTTTTCAAGATCTGACATTCGTATAATGATGAGCAGCTATTCTTTCCTTTAGGAATTCCTGGTGGGCTTTGCTGTCATTTCTTCATAACGCCTACTGGGGACACTATTGCTTTCTCCCTTAGTATCTTTCTTGTGACAACCGCATGCCTGGAGGTAATCAATTTCCTTTGGTGGTTGGTGGTTCATAAATGGGCATGGGACTTAAGTTAGGGACTCTAAGATCAGGGATTCTGGGAAAGTTCATTCTTAATTTTCTGCAAAAACTTCTGAAAATAACTCTGCTTTCTTTCTTTGAACTTGGCTGGGTGCAAAATGCGAAATCTGAAGTGTTAGTACTATCTCTCTACCACTCTAGAGGTGAAGCCAATGTGTGGAGAAAAGCTGAGTCCAAAGACTGTCAGGAAAAACACATCCAGAACCACAGGATTAAGTCAGCAAGGAAGCCAGCCCTACTCCGAACTTTCAGTTGTGTGAGCCAACACATTTTCTATTGCTCCAGCCACTTGGAGTTGATGTTTTATATAACCAAATAGAAATCTGAAATTTCTATTTCATTGTACTTGAAATGTCCATTTCTGCTTTTTTTTTTTTCTTTGTAGAGATGGAGTCTTGCTCTGTCGCCCAGGCTGGAGTGCAGTGGCACGATCTTGGCTCACTGCAACTTCTGTCTCCTGGGTTCAAGCGATTCTCCTGCCTCAGCCTCCCAAGTAGCTGGGACTATTGGCGCATGCCACCATGCCTGGCTAATTTCTTTTATATTTTAGTAGAGACGGGGTTTCACTGTGTTGTCAAGGGCTAGTCTCAAACTCCTGGGCTCAGGCAATCCACCCACCTCAGCCTCCCAAAGTGCTAGAGTTACAGGCATGAGCCGCCGCGTCCGGCCCATTTCTGCTTATGTTTCCTCTGCATCCACTCTGCATGCCGTGGTAGAAGTCCTAAGAGTGATTCACCTGCAATGTGTCCACTTGATCTAGAATCTCAGAGGGCTTATTTTATGTGTGTACAGTAAAGGAAAGTGACAGGTTTGAAATTCACCTGAAAATGGCTAAATGAAGAGAACATATAACTTAAAACCAAATAAAATTGAGGGAGATAATAAACGCCAGTTTGGAGTTTAGCTCTTTCTGTCATGACATTATTTGAGTTCTGCCAGAGATGGTTTTTTTTTCCCCCACAAACTGAAAGATGTCTCTTTTAATTTCTCAGTAATGGTGGGAGCAATGTTACATGTCTATTCTTAGCCTTCAACCTTTATTTTGCTTCTCCCTTGGAAACTAGATCATCTATAAAAATATAAGAAGACAGACCCTCATCTGTACTTTGCAAACAAATAAGAAAATTAGGTTGTTCTCCTTTCAACTGTACTTTTTAAGAGAGAAGGAAGACAGTGGAGAACAAATCTTAATTGAATTAAAAACCACATTATTTTTATAGCTGTGAGTTTAAATCATTTTCATTTAAGAATTTTTAATGTTCATTCAGAAAGTCTTATATCTTAAATAGATTTTTGTAAATAAGTGCATTGGGTTAAATGTTAATTGACTTATACGTGAAGCACCAAATAGTTAAAACCATCTGTCATAAGCCTTAGATACCAAGAACTTTACTAGGTTACCCTGAATGTCTTCCAATGGTCACTTCTGACATTTTCTGACATGCTTCCCAGAACTTGGGGACAAAGGAACATCTGGCACCACATATAAAATTTATCATTACATAAACCAAAGATGCTGAGGGCATCCTCATAAAAGCAGTACACTGCAAAGAAATTGAGTTTCAACGGTGATTGATCACTATTTGATTTGTGCTGTTAATTCTTCCAAGAAATTTCATAAACAAATAAGGCAAAATCACATTTATATAACATTTTATCATGTACAGATCCCTTTTACATTCATGGTTTCATCTGTCTTCTATAAGAATTCTGTGAGAGAGCTAGCCATACCCATATTTTGTTTTTAGATGAAAAAAACTAGGCTTAGAAAGATGAAGGGCTCTGACTAGGTCACACAGCTAGTAAGAGTAACACTAGCAGTTCTCAGGTGCTCTTTTCACCTACCTGATGGAGCCTCAGGTTGGATTGAATGGCTTCTTCAGAGAACCACTTCCAGGTTACAAAGAAAAAGAAGTGATACCTGATTTGAGTTCTCTCGGAACAGGATGTTCATAGACCCCAGGAACAAAGAAATGAAGGCAACTTTAATGGCTGGAGAATGTGGAGAGGAAGAGGACTGAATGACAGGGTCAAGACCAGGTGAAGGTAGAGCTACCCCCAGAGAAACATGTGGCCTTTGTTAAATCACTAGGGACAGGCACTAACTTTGAGGACATTTGGGCCAAATACTGTGCGAGGTGCCCAAATTCCTCATATAATTTTCTTAAAAACTTGTTTCCCAAGTGTGGAAAGATTCACTAACTCTCCCAGATCTACATAAATGGAAAGGAGAATTGGCATATTTGGTTCTCAAGCCCTCCCTGGCCTCAGTGTCCTCACTGACTTTGTTGATTTCTAACAGTCTCTTCCATCTCTCAAATTCTGAGTTGGCTTTAGTACTACTGATATGGTTTGGCTGTGTCCCCACCCAAATCTCATCTTGAATTGTAATCCCCATAATCCCCATATGTCGTGGGAGGGACCTGGTGGGAGGTAATTGAATCATGGGTGCAGTTCCCCCATGCTGTTCTTGTGATTGTGAGTGAGTTCTCAGAGGTCTGATGGTTTTATAAGTGTCTAGCGTTTCCCCTGCTGTCTCTCATTCTCTCTCCTGTCACCCCTTGAAGAGGTGCCTTCCACCATGATTTTAAGTTTCCTGAGCCCTCCCTAACCATGCAGAACTGTGAGTCAATTAAACCTCTTTTCTTTATAAATTAACTAGTGTTGGGCGTTTCTTCACAGCAGCATGAGAACAGCTGAATACAACTACAGTTCACTAACGAATCAAACTCTCCCGGTTGACTTCATTCCCCTGTAATGTGGTTCTTTGTTAATTTGAAATTTAAACTAGTAAATTGTGACGTATCTTACAGATCGTTATGGCTCAACAGTATTAGTTTCCTGTTATTGTTGCCATTGTAAAGGCTTTGGTTTTATTTGTTTTCTTTTTGGCTTTACGTTTTTCTAATTGTTTGCTAATATCTAATTTAGATATTCTTTATTTCACCAAATCATGCATTTGGAAAGACTACTCATATTTTGCCTGTTGTTTTGCAATCCAAATAACATACCATCAGGCAATCAGAATAACATCCTTTCTTTTTACAAAGACTGGCCAGTTTTTACTTATCTTAGAAAGCAACTGAATATGGACTCCAGTATGAAACATAAACACTTTTTGCTTTGTGCCAAATTTGGAAAATTTGCAGCCTCTAGTTCTTCAAATATTTTTTCTGCCCCATTCTCTCTTTCATGTTGGGATCTTAATTAAATATATGTTATGACTGTGGATATTGTTCCACTAAAGCCTGTTCATGTTTCCCCCAATCTTTTAGTGTCTGTTCTTCAGACTGAATAATTTCTATTAATCTATTTCTGTTTATCTTTTTCTTATGTTACCTCTAATCTGCTGTGAAGCCCACCAGTGAATTTATTATTTGAAATTTTATTTTATTGATTTATTTTTGTCCTAGAATTTCCATTAATTTCTTTTTGATCCTTTATTTTCCCTATTAAGATTTTCCATATGTCCCTATATGAGATTTCCTATGTATTCTTTCATTATGACTAAAGCAGTCTTTATCTTATTGAGCATGGTTATAATAACTGCTTTAAAATACTTCTCTAGTAACTTCAATATCCAAGTCATCACAGAGTTGGTCAATATTAATTTCTTTTCTCTAGAGCATGGGTCATGTTTGACTGTTTCTTTGTATGTATGGTAATCCTGCATTGCATCCTGGACATCATGAATGATATTTGTAGACACCATGAATTTTGTTATGTTCCCCCAAATAGTGTTGATTTGCATGTTTGCTTATTTTAGCAGTTAGCTCACTTAACTAAGTTTATTCCCATTACAAGAAGTGAAATTCCTAAACCCTTCATTTTAAAAGGCTTCTTTGAAGCACATGAAAAATCTGATATTAATCAGCCACTTCTTCTGAACTTATTACCTGAAAAAATATCATTCCACCATAAAGCAAATCAAACAGAGGGACCTGAGTAGATGTTTACAGAGCTCTTTAGTTTGTAGAGACTTCTCCTTCAAATAATAATAATAATAATAACAATAAAATTCTCTCATAGCTCTTCTGTTTTCCAAAACTAAGGGAGTTAATCAATTTGTTAGATTATGAAAGCATATGCGTCTATAATTTTATCAGTTTTCGGGTAGGTATTTAAACTCTATAAACCAGATCATCATTTAGGGGATTTCATATGACATTGTACTTAAATGACTTACACTTCTTGGCTGAACCAAATTTGATCTCCAAGAAAAGTCTTTGATTAATGAAACTACATTATTTATTATTACACAAATCATAGAAAACAAAAGAGTAGCTTTTAACAAAATTCGTCTATGTAACACAGGGTGAAGGACTATAGGGAATAGATCCAGCAGACAGAAAAAGAAATCTACATTCTGAGTTGGCTGCAGAACAGCTCAGACATGGCCAACTCCAGCTTGAGCTCCAGACAGTTGCACTGGTGCTCTGCTGGGAGATTTCAGGACAAAGTAATTTTGCAAGAGAAGGATCAACTTGAGATAGGACTCTGAAGTTTTTATTATTCACAGTACTTAAAGGTCTGGGATAACATATTTTAAGAACCCAAAGCAAGATGCTCAAATCAATTCTTACAGTTGGTCTCAAAAATAGATACACATAACTAGATGTTAGGACCAGGTTTTCTCCTGTTGCAGGGTTTCAATAACCAATAATGTTCCATTGGAAAACAGCTGCTCACAAGTCAGTTTATAAGCTCCTTTTTTGGTTAGTAAACAGTCTTCAATAATTGTAGCTGACCCATACTTAATTTTGCTGGAAATTGTTTTGCTTCTTTCTAGAGAAGCTTCTATTCATCAATGTAAGGAAGAATGCAGAACCTCCACAGAAAGGAATTTAACCTCTAAGAATCACTACTCTAGAAAATGATAAAAATAAAACCACTGAACTTGTTAATAGTAGAAGATTACTTAAAATGTTTTCATCCACTCATTACTGAATTTCATGTAAGAGATGTGTAATATTTAGAACTAAAGAAAACTTTACAGATCACATAATCAAACCCCTTTTGTTTCCAGGCTTGGACACTAAGGCCCAAAGCAGAGGTTTGGTTCTGCATCTACCTGTGTGCTAGCTGCTCCACTGTGTCCCTAAATTTACTTCATAAGGCTGTTTTTTTTTTCTGAGATAGATACGGAAAAGAGAAAGTGCAAGGACATAGAGAATGCATATTTCTCACTTTAACAGATATTGCCAAAATGCCCATGAAGATAGTCATGTTGGTTTATGCACCAACAAGCATGTATGAGAATGCTGGTTTCCCCACAGTTTCATCAGAACATACTATCAGACAAAACTGATTTTAAATCATACCCATTTTTGTAAAAATCATATCTCATTGCTTTAATTCCTCTTAGCACTAGTGAAGAAGCTAAGCAAATGTTAATGTGTTTAATTAGATAACTGCATTTCTTTTCTTTCTTTTTTTTTTTTTTTTTTTGTGAGATGGAGTTTCACTCTTCCCGCCCAAGCTGGAGTGCAATGGCCTGATCTCGGCTCACTGCAACCTCTACCTCCCAGGTTCAAGTGGTTCTCCTGCCTCAGCTTCCTGAGTAGCTGGGATTACAGGTGTCCGCCACCACACCTGGCTAATTTTTGTATTTGCCAGTAGAGACAGGGTTTCACCATGTTGGCCAGACTGGTCTCGAACTCCTGACCTCAGGTGATCTGCCCACCTCGGCCTCCCAAAGTGCTGGGATTACAGGCGTGAGCCATTGCTTCTCACTAATAACTGTATTTCTTCTGTGAATTTCTTATTCTTTGTCCATGTATTATTGGTTATTTGTTTTTACTAATTAACTAGTGTTACTCTTTACATATTGCAGTTATTAATTCTTTTAACTGTTACATATGCTGCAATTTTTTTTGTCTGTTTTCTCTAAGAGTAACTCAACATAACTTTAATGAAATACTGATTAACAAAAAAGGGTATCCATGTTTCTCTGGGAACTTTTACATAAATTCTGCTTGAGAAGGTTATTTGTATTTTGTTTGGCTTTCACTGTTGCTTTGGCAGGGAAAATTAATTTTATAATATTCAGCAACTACTCATTTCACTGTATAGTGAGTGGAAAAGGGACAGTATGCAGAAATGATCTCTACTTCAGATCCCAAGTATCAACAACTCTTATTCTGTAGCTGCCATCTCTGTTATAAAAATCCAGTCTTCCAAGCATGGCACACTTCTTCTCTAAGGGCCAGAAATGAATTTCAAACTATCTTGTTGTATCTTTTCATTAGAGGAAGAACTGCTTCTTTTTTTTTTCTTTTTTCTTTTTCTTTTTCTTTTTTTTTTTTTTTTTTTTTTTTTTTGAGACAGAGTCTCGCTCTGTTGCCCCAGCTGGAGTGCATTGGCAAAATCTCGGCTCACTGCAACCTCCACCTCCTGAGTTCAAGTGATTATCCTGCCTCAGCCTCCTGAGTAGCTGGGATTACAGGCGCATGCCACCATGCCCAGCTAATTTTTGTATTTTTAATAGAGACAGGGTTTCACCATGTTGGCCAGGTTGGTCTCGAGCTCCTGACCTCAAGTGATCTACTCACCTCAGCCTCCCAAAGTGCTGGGATTACAGGCATGAGCCACCGGGCCAGGCAGGAACTGCTTCTTTTCTCTTTTGCTATCTAGAAACCAGCAAACTCCATGATGGCTATTTATCTATAATTTATTTTTAAGAACATTCTGCCAATGACATCTCAAGCAAGATGTGACAACAGTTACACAAAGCAGTCTACAGCATGCAGTGTGTCTCAATGCCTCTGAGAAGTAGCAACAACTTTTGTTCTCAGATGGCCCTCAGTCCTTCCCCGTGTCATCTTTCTGTCCTAGACTGTGGCCTAACTGCTCACAAGGATTCAACGGCATGCAAACAGCTGTTAGTTGGTTTTCTTAAAAGAGGTATTGTTGATTGGAAAGACTGGCTCATATTTAAACTCTGCCCTTTTTGCAAATGCCAGATTTTCTCAATAGTATTCCAGAGGAAATTTTGTTTTGAACACAGTTACTGAATTTGACCAGACTACAGACATAGCACCACCCATATTGCTCAATGCTAAGACACAGCATCTTTGATTTTCTGTATGTCATAACGTTCTGAAGATTGAGTTATTGATGAGAAATTTTTGCAGCTACACATCCTCCTATAGTTCTTGCTCTCCATTCAAGCAGGCCCTAGGGCTCATGGCAAGATGATTTCCTTGGGGAGAAAGAGCCTGAGACTTAGAAATTTAATTTGTATAATGAATCCTGGCTTTTTCCCTCCTTTAGGGATCTGATTCTTCTTTCTCTTCCTCCTCCTCTTCTGTCACAGGACTCTATGCTCCACTCCAGCGTAGTTTGGTTGACTGATGCTTCATTCTCTATATGCACTGACATGACGTGTGACTGTTCAGGCACAGTTGGAGAAGTTGGAGAAGACAGCACCTCATCCCCTCTCCCAGAACTAATCATTGATTGGAGGGCCAATGCTTCAACCTTGATGTGATTCAGCAGGTCATGCGAGGGCTGCCTTCAACAGGAGCAGTGTCTCCTCCTCCTTGCGCAGTTCCTGACCCAGCTCGGCATGTTTCCTGGTGACACTGCTGCTCGCCACATGGCCCAGTGCTGCAAATATTTTTATATAATTACATTTGTTCATTCAATTTTTAAGTGTCTTTTTAATAGAGAAAACAATCACTTTATGAGCTCAAAATCTGCAAATCCCTTGTATTTTCTAAAAGACTTTCTTCAATTACAAAAATTCCCCTTATGTTTTATTCTAATACTTTATAAATTTTGTTTAGCTTGTTGATTTTGCATCTGAAATTTACATTACAATAAAATAAAGATAAAATTTAATATTTTCCCTCAGATGCATTGCCAAGTATCCCAACATAGTTTGTTGAATATTTCTTTTTTCTCTGCTGATTTGAAATGCCAATTTTCTCATACACCAAATTTCCATACAGATACATGGCTGTGGCTCTGTCCAATATTCTTTTCCACTGATCTGTTGGCATATTCCCATGCCACCATCTATGTTCAATTACTGTAGGATGAATATATATAGATATATGTATATCTATCTGTCTATATCAGAGCAGTTCTCTCTCATTGTTCTTGTCTTTTAAAATTATTATAGTTATCCTTGCTCATTTACTGTTCAGCATATTTTGCTTCCAGTAATCGATTGTAAGAAATGAATGTAATAATTTTTTTAAATGGCTCTGATGTTGAAAAGACTGTAAAAAAATGAAGTACACATTGGCCAACTTAGCATACCTTTTGAAAGATATTGTTTAAGATTCCATATTGATCTTGCAAGATCATTCCAGGGAAATAAGTGTGTTATTGTGGTGGATACACCCACCACAATCTCACCATTTGAGGATGTATCTCATCATTTTGATGATGGCTCCAAATCCACCTTATTCTAACACAAAGTGGACTTTGCAATCATAGTTCTTGTCCACTAATTGTGACACGTGGATTCCATCACCCTGTTGTTTCTGAGGCATTCTTTGCACTTGCTTCCATTAGGTTTATGAAATTTGTGAATTGGGCATTTTTACTGAACTTTTAATCTTTCATCATCTTCAAACGATCGAATAGGCTAAAAATGCTGCAGACTGTGCAAGGCTGTGCACCTCAATGCTAGAGGAAGTCTGTTAATCAGACCCGCTGCATGGATTTCATCATTTCACCTCAAGCTTTACCACAAAGGTTACATCTGCTGAATTAGAAATAGGGTGATAATTCTCATTTGCTTCTATCTCAATTCGGACTTAGATAAAGACTTTTAAAAACAAAATTACCTTCTGGACACTGCTTCTTGATGGACTCTGCCCATTTTAATTACAAGAGTTACTGTTTTTTTAGGAGTCAGGAGCTGGATTAATATGAGTTCTTTCACTCTCAAAAGACCTCACACCTCATGGCCTTAAATGGTTAAAACCTGAAAGAGACAGAGTTTAAAATATAATAATTCATTACTTGGCATGAGATTAGTCCTCAAGTATTTCCACAACCACTTGTACTTCAGGGAAACCCCCATCAAGAACCTCATTGATGGCTAAAAGACACCGTCAGGTAAAGAAGTAAATACAGTCCATACTTGTAATTTGGTTCATCTGGGTTACTGGAGCTTCCTCTCATCATTGCTTCTCTTCTGTTTCTATGCATTTATATTGCCTTCACTGAACATACCATTAGCTTCGAGTTGATTTTGTATAAAGAAAGAGCTTTTTAGCAAAGGTCTTTTGGCCCCTTGCTTGTTTTATTACTGTCAACACAGAGTTAGAAAAGAACTATTTAATAAAGTTGTCAAGGTCTTGAAATGATCGCTCAGCCAGTTCATCAAAATGATGGAAAAGATAGAGCAAAGTATTTTTGCATGATCCTGTCCTTATTATCTGTTGGTCATCCAACAAGGATCAGCTGTACAGACAGTCACCTAATAACGGTAGCTCTAAAACAATAAAAATGGAAAAATAGTAACTATATAGTGAAGAAACCTGGCAGACACCTCCTTCACCAAGTGGTCAAGTCCAGTAATGGGACAAATCAAATCCTCTGTCTCCAAATATAATGAACTGGGGAGAACGCAACACCTCTTTTGTGCTATTGCTGCCCCACAACCTGATTCTCACTGTGAGGAAACATGAAACAAACCCAAATGGAAGGACATTCTACAAAATATCTAGCCTATCCTCCAAAAATATCAAGTTATAAAAATCAAGGAAAGACTGAGAAACAACTGTTTCAGACTTAAGGGGACTAAAAAGACAGACAATATATCTTTCAGGATTTTCTCTGGTCATAAAGCATATTACTGGGACGACTGGCAAAATCCAAATAAGATCTATGGATTAGATAACAGAATTGTAGCAACATTCATTCCCTGAGTTTACTGTTTGTACTATGGTTATATATTTTGGAAAAAAAAATCCTTGTTTTACCATTTCAGTCCCCTGATCACTCCTAGCTACAAGGGAAAAATAGGAAAATCAGTCTATATACCAAGCCTAGTGAGCTGGTTAAAAATCAGAGTTCTACTACCTGTGATAAAGGAGAGAATCGATACTAGAATGAAACCAGTGGTCTTAGACATGAAGTATGTGTTCTTGAGAAATGCAGTTGTACAAAGACAAAGTCGCTGGAGAGGAAGACCTATTTTAAGGCTATCAAGGGCAATCTCATGGATGAGAATGAGATTATACATACCCCAGCCTCATTTGGACTAGAATGAAAACATCAAGGACTGACTGCCCTCACTCACGTGTTATCTCAGGGGCCAGACCATCTCCTGCACCTCTACTTTCCTTTATCTCGCACCCACCAGTTTCTTCTCCCCACCTGCTTTGCTGACATATGACTCCAAATAGTGTTCCCAGTTTTCAAGTCTAAATGGCATGGCAGGTCCTGCCTTCACTATCAACTACCGGTGCTCATTATATCTGTTTCTATTGAATTGATTCCACCCATACTTTCGTAAAAGGATTTCAGCAACCACAACACATCTAGAAGTGCTTCAGAACAGTTGTCCATCTGGGGCTAATCCTATGCGGCTTTAAGGAGGCAATGTCACATGGTTATGATTTGAGATTAGAGGGTTATGATTAGAGATTCTCTTGGAAGAATAAAGGGTCAGGATGAGAAATGATTGTGATAGTTGGAGGATATTTCAGAATACTTTTCATTTGAAAAAAAAAAGCCAAAATTAAGATGAAGTGATCATTCACTTCCAGAAGTAAAAAAACTGCTAGGATTGATCTTAAGAACAGCAAATCAAGTAGCTAAAGTGGAAATGTACAGTAAACATGATGAAGAAAATTACCCCCAGTAAAAATCCATCGATGGAATTTTTTCAAAGACCCTTCCCCAAGAGCATACATATAGAAATAGACGGGGCATGGGAGGGACAAACAGGCAGCAAATCAAAGCGATCTGCAGTGAAATTAAAAGAGAACTGAAGCCTGTGACATTATCCCTCTCTCTAGTAAGTTTTCTGCCTTTACTTGAATTTTTTTCTAAACTTAGGTCTTGGTAAATCTGGCAGCTGTCACAAAATACCATCTGTCCTAAGAAAATGGGTGTAGAGGTGGCTGTGACCCAGGGGATTTTCCCAAATGCTGTTGGCATGTATTTTTGGCCTGATCAAGTCCCTGACAAGAAAGTAAAAATCCTACAAAGAAAATCTCTGAAGCTGCACTCAAAAGAGAAATGGGTGCACAGTCCCGTTATAAAATTGGGGCAGGAGCTGTCCACTGTGAAAAAAGGGGAAGGTGGCTGGGCGCAATGGCTCGCGTCAGTAATCCCAGCACTTTGGGAGGCCAAGGCGGGTGGATCACGAGGTCAGGCGTTCGAGACCAGCCTGGCCAACATAGTGAAACCCCGTCTCTACTAAAAATACAAAAAAGTTAGCTGGGCATGGTGGCAGGCGCCTGTAATCCCAGCTACAAGGGAGGCTGAGGCAGGAGAATTGCTTGAACCCGGGAGGTGGAGGTTGCAGTGAGCCAAGATCGCGCCACTGCACTCCAACCCAGAGGGCAGTGTGAGACTCCGTCTCAAAAAAACCAAAAAAAAAAAAAAAAACAACAACAAACAAACAAACAACAACAACAAATGGGAAAGATGAGGAGGAGTACAACTTAAGATAGCTCATGCTTAACTCCAGGGGAGGCAGGGGAGAACAGAGAGAGGCATGGGAATTCTATAAAGCAGGCATGGAGTTTGCCCTCTGAGAATCCATCTATATCTGATTAAATGTACGGATTAGTCAGAATTGTCTGTAACTTTTAGTCTACCAGCTGAGAGCACACTTCTAACCTGAGTAATTTAAATATTGGAATTGCTCAGTCTTGGTGAACTGGGTACATTGAAAGCTGTCCTCATCAGCTCTGTTTAAGTTATCCAAGCATTTGAGAGGAAACCGTTTTAACCTCAGTCTGCCATCATTGATAACAGGAGGTTTTCTTCAACTTGCAAAGAAAGCCATCAAGTACCTTTAAGATAACTTCCTGCTACCGGTTCTTTCAGCGGGTGGGAAAATATTTGGCCAGTGCCCAGGTTTTGCAGGAGAGTCAGAGTATTGCAATTGCTCATCTATCTCCCAGCAAAACTGTGACTGTGGATCTTGTTTGCTCTGAGAGAATATCGAATACTTTTATTTATTTGTGTGTGTGTGTGCAGGGGGATTCGGATGCTTGTTTGTCACCCAGGCTGGAGTGCAGTGACATGGTCATGGCTCACTGCAGCCTCCATCACCTGGGCTCAAGCAATCCTCCCTCCTCAGCCTCCCAAGTAGCTGGGGAGCTGGGACTACTGGCACACACCTGCCCTAAGTTTTTTATTTTTTTGGGGAGATGGGGGTCTCACTTTATTACCCAGGATGGCCTCTAACTCCTGGCCTCAAGAAATCTTCCTGCTTTAGCCTCTGAGTCACTGGGATTACAGGCTTGAGCCACCACACCAGGCTCTGAATGCTTTTTAAACTAACCCCTTGGCCATTGTGCTGAGCAGGTATTAGGAAAACGGCAGACATGCTGATGAATACTCTAAAGCCTACTTATCCGTGCAGAGGGGGGCTCCCCAAAACTGATGGGGAAATGCAGCAATATCCTCCTGATTCCACTGGATGTTTAAGAGGAATGTGGGAGATGCCTCTACAAACTAAAACCTCAGCTAGGCAAAGGCCAGATGCATACGGACGAGAAACACACAGAAATAACCTGCAGAGGCCGGGCGCGGTGGCTCACACCTCTAATCCCAGTACTTTGGGAGGCTGAGGTGGGTGGATTACTTGAGGTCAGGAGTTCAAGAACAGCCTGGCCAATGTAGCGAAACCCTGTCTCTACCAAGAAAAAAAAAAAATTAGCCAGGCAAGGTGGTAGGTGCCTGTAGTCCCAGCTACTCGGGAGGCTGAGGTGGGAGAATCGCTTGAACCCAGGAGGCAGAGGTTGCAGTGAGCCAAGATCGCAGCACTGCGCTCCAGCCTGGGTGACAGAGAGAGACCTTGTCTCAAAAAACAAAATCAAAGAAATAACCTGCAAAGGAAACGCATGCAAACCATACACACTACACATACACACCACACATACACATCATACCATGCACACAACACACACTACACATACAAACCACACGTATACATCACACCACGCATACCACCATACCACACACACCACACATACACACCACACGTCACACCATGCATACCACATACATATCCACCAAACACAACCACACCACACACACCGCACACCACCTGCACACCTGTAAGGTAAAGAAGTGGATACAGTCCATATTAGTAATTTGGTTCATCTGGGTTACTGGAGCTTCCTCTCATCATTGCTTCTCTTCTGTTTCTGTGCATTTATATTGCCTTCACTGAGTATACCATTATCTGTCTCTCTCTCTCTCTCTCACACACACACACACACACACACACACACACACACACACACACACACTATGTACAGTAACCCCAGGCAGCAGCGGCAGTCCATGACTACTTCTTTCTCACATAAGTGACCCCGTGAATTCATTTCTGCACAGGTGTCTGAGCAGTGGGTGGAGTCTCTTTCTGTCAGTGACAGAAGGACCTGCAGGCTGGAGACTGTGGGAGTCTCCAGAATTTTCAGCATCGAAGGGGTTGCCTGCAGCCCCTGATGTGAGCAGATCCCTTGGCAGAAGCTGTGGAACCTGCTCATTTGCTGGGAAAGGAGGAAGAGTGCCAGCACGCAGTCTGTGTTCATGCTGAGTGGGGCGTCCTGAGACCTATCGGGGTGCACCAGCCTGTGAGGGAGGCACAGTGCCCTGTTGGTGCGAACGCCACGTCCTTCCAAAGTGTGAGGCATTCAGACTTGACCTCCAGGCACGCTTTGCCCCTCAGGGGATTTTTCCTTATCTCTCACTCTGTCCTCCAGGTGCTGAGAAGGACTTCCTTGAAGGTGCTCATTGAGCCAAAATGCCTGAGGAATGTAGGATTCCCTTGTCACACTGGGTTCTGGGCTTCATTAAAAGAAAAAATATATATATATGTATATGTATATGTATACATGTAATATACACTACGATGAAAATGTCAGACGTAATGTAAGATGTGATGTATAGTATGTTCAATATATTTTAGGTGTACCACATGTATTTATAATATAATAATAAATATTATTTATAATATATTTTAATATATATTACACAGATATAGGTATGTGCATATATGCACATGTATGCATGTGTCTTTTATTTAATTAACAAACACTTATATACCAATTTCTAGGTACACTGTCCCAAGCCCTTTATAAATGATAACTCATTTAATTTAACCTTCAGAACAACCCAATGCTACAGCTTCTTCCCCCCACCCCTACTCCCACTTTACAGAAGAGGAAACCACACCTGGGCAGGTTGAGTAACATGCTTCAGGGTGCATAATTAGCACGTGATGAAGCAGGGTTCAAACGGCCCCTCTGGCTCCTGATCTTGTAGTCATGTTCCATTCCAGCACCCTGTCCAGCTCACTCTCACCTGAGAGGGGGAATTTAGTCAGGCTTAGTTGGGCAGTTTGGTAGTATATAAAAATTTTCCCTGGGCTTTTCTCTGGCCACAAACTCTCTAAGATGATTTGAGGGATGTGCATCTACACCTCTGACCATTCACATTCAGCTTTGCAAGGTCTCAGACTTTGGATGAAGAGAGTTGTGGAGAACGAATTTGTTAACGCTGCAAAGAAATGTGAATTGTGGTGTAATTTCATATTAAACAGTGTGAAAAGTCATAGGAAATCTTCTTTCACAAGATATTATTTAAGCGATGCATTTATTTACTAGAGATGAAAATAGAAATAATCTAAATCCATTTTTAAATGTTTTTTTAAAAACCACGCTAAATTTTTTAAATGTTTTTTTAAAAACCATGCTACCAAATAATACAAAGAACAAATTTGTGCGTGTGTGTGTGTGTGTGTGTGTGTGTGTGTCTGTCTATCCTATGCATATAAATGTCTTATTATTTACCTGTTATAAAATTCTAGATGTCACCTCATTAAGCCCATTATCAACGAGTTATTACTGACCATCACTGATGTTTTGGGCTATTTTTACCTGCTTTTATTTATTTTGTTCTTTTTTAGGAAGTTTTACTCATATATTAACTTCTCCATTGACACTGCTTCTTACTTAACACTATGTGAATGCAGATTGTAGTCAAAGATATTCAAGGATTCAAGGGTTTGACTATTTTCTCATAGCAATAGCATTTGCTTGTGGAGTATCTTAAGGGCACTTTGAGATGAGTGAGAATGAGATTTTGATACTGAAGATGGGCTTAGAGCTGGTGCCCTCATCACCCTCCTTCTCTGAATGAGCCTCATGGAGCAAAAATGCCACCGTGGAAATGAGGTGGTGCACAGTGCTGGTAAAGCTTTTACAGTTTATAAATTCTTTCCTCCACAGTGTCTATTGGCATATCTCAAAAAGAGCCATTGTCCTGACGATGCCCATGATCTCCCAGAAAGATGTAAAGAGAAATGACACTGGTATCCAGAGTAGCCCAGAGGTAAGCAGAGCCCAGACCCCCATAGGGCTGCCCACGTTAGCAAATAGAAATACAGGAAGTTAAAGTCAAATTTCAGACCCTAGAGTGCTCAACATTGTACTACAGACCCCAATGCTTTACATTTCAGATAAGCAATAAATAATTGTCTGGTATATGTATGTCCCACATAAGCCATGGAATATATTTGTACTAAAAGAACCATTCACATTTAACTGGGCATCTGGTATTTTATCTGGCAACCCTAGCAAGAAGGCAGGGGCAGCACAGGTACATGAAGGCCACTTTGCTCTACTGATAGATGAATACAATATTCTTTGCATCTGTGTTTCCCTGATGAGTATTATAAACTAATGTTTTCGTGCAACCAAGATAGGAGTATATTTTAGGGAGTCTCTGCACAGCCATGAGTGAGAAGGTAGTGTTAACAAAGAAGAAGGAAGTGTTAGTGAAAAATTGGAGAGACTGGAACAGAAGTGCTGATTTCAAAGCATGCCTTGAACACTAGGCATTTGCCATCAGACAGGTCAGTAGACTCGTAGGGAAGGGAGAAAGGAAGGAAGACTTTTTCAAGTAGTTTAGCTTTGCCCATAAATTGTGATGATATCTACCTACTGACGATGGCTTTTGAGAGACTTAAATAATACCACCAACCACAAAAGTGCTTTATAGAGTACAAAATATTACACAAATTGTCAGGATCACATTTCCCAACTATACCTGTTTTAGGAGGAAGAAAGGGAGGAAAAGGAGCAGGAACCTCTTTCTCCTCCTCTTCTGTATCTATCTGCTTGATCCTGAGCTGATGGTCTTTCATGTATTAAGGAATGTCATATCACTATGACCACCTCAGCTACTGCTAATTAATTCAACTCAAGCTACTGCTAAATGAATGACAGCAGATTTCGATATCCTGCTAACTTGCTTTTTAGCTTAGAGCAGCCAGGCTATTTTGCAGCCAACCAAATACACATCAAAGAATGTTAAGTCTTTCTGTGCCACAGATATAATACAGATTTCTTTACAAAACAAAGATGGAGGGTCAATATTCCCTGAGGCAAAATGCTGAAATATATCAATTGCTATCCAATATAAAGCACTGTTTTAACAGTGAACATCCTTGGAGTCAGAAGACCTGGGTTTAAGGAGAAACTCTGCCATGTATTGTGTGTTCTGGGCTAATCCTTTAACCTCACTGAACTGTAATTTTGTTTTTTTTTTTTTTGAAAAATAACCTTATCTTTCATATAAGCTGTTGTGATGATTACATGTGGTTTATATACATATATAGCCCTTTGTGAAATACAATACACAATAAAATATAACCTGTTATTCTCATTAAGCTGTGTTGTGTTTGCATTATTACAACTGAAACAGGAGTCCCGATCTTCTACAAACACTCGCAAGGGTCAAATCCTAGCGTTATTTCCATCAGCTAGTTCCTACCCTGAGTTTTTGGACTTATATACTTCCCTGAAGTAAAATTGCCCCAACTTTCTTTCAACTAAAATTTGAAGTATTCAGGAGGCTTACATTCAATTTAGTTTAGCAGTAGTTTGGAAGGATGTCGAATATTTAAAATGTGTCGTTTTTCTGAGGTTCGAGGTCTTTAAGATGATTTGGGGGTGTGCAGATATACCCTCTGACAGTTCAAGATCAGCTTTGTAAAAGTCTTCATATTTCATACGCAGACAAATGCATTAACAGTGCCAACAAATGAGAATTACAGTGCAATCCAGACAAAGGGTGTAACAAATCCAAGGAAATCTGCTTTGGCAAGAACCACTTGGTGAATGCAATAAAGCAAGCTCTGAGCTGCAAATGTCACTCCCTGCCCCCACGTTGGTCTCAGCTGAGCAGGTGGGTGTCTGCCTTGCCTTGAGCCACTGAGCAACTAGGAGCGTGAATATTATTTATTATTCGTAAGAAATGGAGCCAGTGCATTTCAGATATTTGCAGAGTGTTGCAGACATTAATGAGAGTGGAGAAGCGATCTGTTCCCTGGTGGACCCCTACTGCATTTATTCGAATGTGTGATTATTAAACTGCACAAGTCTCTCTGGGGCTCAATGCCCAGAGTGCATTACACCCTGGAGAATGTGAAAATACTTTAATTAACAACAGGAGTGGGCAGACCTGCTGAGTGCCTTCTGTTACCATCCTTGCGACCTGGAAAGTCAAGACTCATTTGTCACCCCCACCATTTTTCATTATTGATATAAAGAAAACACTAAGCAACAATTTCATTTGAAATCAATTGGAAAGGCTGCTAAATATAAGATATTTCACTCCTTTCCTTCCTCTGGCTGAAGTTTATTAGTAACCAACATTACACAAACACATGCACACATCAGCATGCTCACACACACATGAGAAATGAACTTGAGATTTCTCTATATTCCACGTGCTCTGCAAATAGTACGGCACTCTGGAGCGTATAGATGGAGAACATGCCAAATTGACTTGGAATATGCATCCATTTGAACATGTAAATTTGCATTAGTCAATTACTCAGTCTGATAAATGCTTTGGTTCATTAGTTTAAATAAAATACTGGGAAACTCCTAACACCCTAGCTGACTAAGAAATGATGTGTTTTTGTTTGTTTGTTTTTTAAATGTTGCTTCAGTGATTTCTGCCTGAACTGGTTGTATTTAAGACCATGTAGTACCCAACCACAATTTACAGGCCAGGAGAAGGGGCCTGCCATGGACACTGTGCAAAGATCAACTCTCATTTTTTAATCTTGTACCCTCTGTCCAGAACTGATGTGTTGCCGCGTGAGAACTGAATGTGAGGAGAGTGGTTGTGCACACGCATGCAAGCCAACCTTGGATGTTGCCCCACAGCTGGTCTGCAGTCTGGCTTCTTGTAGAATAGAGCCACTTCATGACATGGACTGGTTTGGCCAGAATTCAGAATTTACTTAACAAAGACCTAATTGTCACATCACTCTACCAATTCTTAATTATTTATCGAGCATCCACTAGCGCCCCAGATTGGCATAGGCCCCCAAAACAGTGGGCAACCCAGACGAGAAGAGACCAGTATCTGAGACACATTTGGAGAAAATTAAATGCTGATTTGTGACATTGAGACTTTAACCTCCTTAAAAGCATACTATTTTTCCAGAAGTATTGGGGAAAATACTTTTCCAGAAGTTTTGTTTTTTGCTTTTTTGATGTACTAAATGAGAGTGGAATGGACGGTGAAGCAAGAAGCTATTTTTTTTAAAATAAACTTTTCATTTCAGAAGAGTTTTAGATTTATAGGAATATTGTGAAGGCAGAACAGAGAGTTCCCATATGCCCACACACCCAGTTTCCCTATTATTAACATCTTACATTAGTCCAGTACTTTTGTTATAATTAACAAACCAATAGTAATACATTAGTATTAACTGAAGTCATACTTTATTCAGATTTCCTTAGGTTTTGCCTAATGTCCTTTTTCTGTTCCAGAACCCCATCCAGGCTACCACATTACATTTAGTCACTGTATCTCCTCAGGCTCCTCTGGGGACAGTTTCTTAGACTTTCCTAGTTTTGATGACCCTGACAGTTTTGAGAAACACTGGTCAGATATTGTGTAGAAGGCCCCTCAGTCGGGATTTGTCTAAAGTTGTCCTCATGAGTAGATGGGGGTTATGGTTTTGGAGGGAGAAAGACCACAGAGCTGAAGTGCCCTTTTCATCATGTGAGATCAAGAGTGTGTACTATCAACATGACTAATTGCAGGTGCCATACTTTTCTCCCCAAGAAGACTATTGTCTAAAAGTATTTGAGGCCTTCCCTGCCAAAGTAGACGTATAAGGCATCAGTCATACACCAAGTCATATACCTGATCCACTTCTTGGACTATGACCAGCTTCTCAGTTTACTCACATGGCTTATGGACCCTAATATTTGTCATGCAGCACTTGCTTTCCCTAGTAAGCATCATTTTCAGCATTAACATTAGATATTTAAAATGTACAGAGGCTATGAACTATCTTGAAGAGAATATACTTTCCACCTCATTCTAGAAAATCAAGTGTATCGTGATTTACTTGTGAGAAACCTCAGCAACTGAGTATTTCAAGAAAGAGCTGAACCCTTATATTGACTGACTTGGTGATTTTACATTTTAAATGTTCCTGTCACAGTTGAGTAGCTATAGGTACAATTTTTTCATGAGATAACTTGCGGGATTGAGAACAGGAGTGTTTACTGAGCATCTACTATATATAGACATTTTACATAGTGTACCTCATTTAATGACCACAGTAATCCTACATCCAGGTCAGGTATAATTGCATGCACTTCACAGAAAAGGAAGTGAACTGTCTGGTAAACCAGGGCACATGATGACGAATGATGAACTAGAATGTCTACATGACCCATATTCTTTCTACAATACACTCTACTCCTGCTGGAGTTGATAATGCTGTGTTCTAAGGGGATACAGATAGGTCTCTCTCTCATGCCTGAAGTGTCTCCATAAGTGATGCAAGACTTTTGATCTCCAAGAATTGCCAGACTTCAAGAATCTTCTGGAAAAATAAAAGGTTTTTTCTTTATATACATTAAACCTTGTATGTTTAGTAAAAAAGTTCTGTACATTTCTTCATTTTTCCTATATTTAGGCAAAGTTTCCCACTCTTTTTTGATAATGATATTTAAAAATGTCTTTAATAAAATTGCTCATAAAATTTATAGGACTTGCCAGAGAATCAAAGTGAGGGAAACTTTAATAATAGTGTACAATAGAAAAATACATACTAATGTGATTAGTATGAAAATGGAAGCAACATATGTATTAAAATAGATGGTTTTTTTTTTTCCTGTAATACACAAGGAGCTTGTATAACTTAATGAGAAAAAGAACAATCCAACACAACCATGAACAAAGCTCAGGAATAGGCCGTTTTCAAATGAGGAAATAAAAATGGCTAGTAAATATATGAAAAGATATTCAGACTCTTTACTAATCAAATAAATGCAAATCAAAACAACAGTAAGATTTTTGACACATCAAATTGGCAAAAATTGAAAATGCCGATTCCCAGAATTGGCGAGAATTTGAAACAAATAGTTTTTTAGCAATACCAATCATAGCTTAAGTGTACATTTCCTTTGAACCAGAAATTCCCCTTCTAGAAACTTATGCTGTAGAAATATTTGTCAAGTACACAAAGATATGTTTCCCTGGGTGTTAATTGCATCATGGTTTATAAATTACAAACTAGGAAACAATCCAGCTATCAATTAGTGGGGGTTTATTAAAACAAATTATAGCACATACACACAATGGAAAGCTATGCAAATCATTAAAAAAAGATATAAAGGAGAGCCACATTATGTTTTTGAGTGAAAGAATCATGTGGCTGAAGTTTATATTTTTTATCCAATGTGTGTCACTATATGTGACTTTGCCTACACATTCCCATACCTATCTTAATGCAGCAGTGATTGGACTTTACAAGAAAGAGAATCCTAAACGAGGCATAATCTTATTTTTTGCATGCACTGATAATGCATCTGCAAACAGACCAGCAATTTAGAAAAATATTTGTAAGCATAGTCAGGATGTTATAAGCATGAAGTTCAGCTATTCATTAAAAACATGCTGAATTAAGGTCATTGTACATTATTAACCAGGACTCTGTTAATAGTGCACAATGACCTCAATCTAAGACGTTCTAGGAAATATCAGAAGCATGGGAGTTATATAAGACGATTTCTTCAAACATATGGATTTCATTAATTGCATGGCTCCAGATTCGACTAGTCTTTTCTCTAATTCCTTTGTCACATGCTGAATGTTATAGAATGAAAAGGCATAAATAAACATCATTACAGAAAATGTTCCTTTGCTACTAGCTTTAAGTAATTGCTATTCAACTCTAAATAACCCACTTGAAAAAAAGAAAACATCATTAGTCTGAAATGTCTGCTAACGTTTTCTTTCTACTTTGTTAAGGTCCATTTAAGGAGAGACTTATCACAGCCATACTCAAATAATCTGATCCTCTAAAAATACTTTATAGTTAAGTTACACTGATGAAAGTAATGTATTTACCCAAGAGGTAAACACATTGCCTGGAAAATTCCTAATTGACAAAGGAGTAGGAATTTACCCTGTTGTGTGTGGGGCAAACCAATGGTGAGGCTCTGTGGCCCTCAGTGGAGAATAAAACCTATAACAGCAAGGGTAATGTTCACTCTATATGTCTACAAAGGCTGAACTTGGACGCCATTGTCTAGCATCTTTTGAACTAAGTCTAGAACAATGACACTCCCCTTGGACTTTCTAAGATACTTCTAGGGCTTTAAGTTTATCTGATATTTGGCAAATGCTCAGCACAATTTTGATTCAGAAAATAGTCACTCTAGCCATATCTAATATGGATGGTAAAAACTGGCTCATTATTATGTAGTTATGGAAAGTTGTCCAAAGGATGCCAGGTGTTCATCATGGCTACTATGATTTTGAGTGGAAAATGTGGACCCAAAAATCTTTTATGAGGAGGTACAGATACGCCACCTAAAACAATAACCTACTAAAAGCACTAAGAGAAATGAACAACAAATGAAGCAGCCATGGGAAATACATCAAGAAAGTATGGCAATCTGGCTGGACCCAAGGAGTGCTTTGAACAGCAGCAAGCTCTAGAAATAGCAGCAGAACTTAGCCCAGTCTGGTTTGTGGGCTGCTGGTCATGCAGTGTGGTCTTTTTGGTCACCTTTGCTCACAAAGGTAGAGTTCATTGGAACAAGGGACTGTTATAACATCTTTCAACCTGGTATTCATTTTTGAATCATTGCATAACATTTACATGGAATAACACATACCAAGTTTTGAATAGTAACAGGCGCAACCTCAAAGGCACCATGACTTGGATAGGCCTTCAAAAGTCCAGCGACTTGGTTGAATGAATCATAATCTCTTTGATCTAACATCTGGACGGCAACCCCTTTAAGGATCTCATTTCCTGTATATTCACATCTCTTCCTTGCATAACAATATCCACCTTCAGACACACACAGGGTAAAAGCAGAGAAAATTTTCAGAGTCTAAGCTCAACAACAATTTTGTTTATTCCAGCATCATGGTTCAGCCTTTTGTTTTTACTTTTCAAAAACATTTTTAAAACAAATTGGGTATTTTTTATTACTACAGTCCTAATGTTTTACATATTGCTTAGCACATAATTGACAGTAAACAGTTAAGGAAGGAGTAATGGAGAAGGGGAAGGAGTTTATTTGAGAGAGTTGGGGCTTAATTATCTGTCACATCTTCAATTCCCAGATTTCCTGCAGCATGAGTCAACTACTAACCCAGTGAGCAACAGAAAATTTCACATCGTTTTAAGAAAGATAGTGGGGCAATCTTATTTCTACTGCCAGCAAAACCTAGGATGGCAGCAGCAGAAAAAGGTATAAAACATAATTTAGAGGTTAAGAGCAACTGGGGCAATGAGCTAGATACCCTAGTTGTGACGACAGACCCACAAAGTGGGGCGTCAGGTTGGGAATTCTGTGATTAATGGCTCTACAAAGGGAGAGATTTTAAAGAAGCAGAATATTTTATAAGTATCTTCCTAGTGTTCCTGTAGGCCCCTGACCAAATCTTTCTGATGATAAAAATAGCATTTCAACAATCATAGATCAATACTTCTGGGTCTCCACCCCTCCATTCTCTGATAAATCTCTGGCCTTTCTCAAACTCTTCATGCAGAACCATTGATAAACTCAACAAGCATCTATGAGCCACGACTAATATGTGCCAGTCATGGTATGAGGAATACAGCTGTGAAAAGGATAGTCATGAGCCCTTCTGTGAGGAGCTGATAATGTGATGAAGGGTTCTGGGCTCTCCCAGAGATGGTCTCACTTGTACTCTGAGTGCCAGTGCTGTTGGCTCTAAGAGACATCCAATGCTCTTCTTTCCTCGTCCCATTTTCTTTGGGGATGATCCCTACCCTTAGCTGTACCCAACCAGCACTGCTGTGGTCAGTGCCCAGAAGTCACACTGCTCCTCTGATGGCGCCCATCAGATTGCTCCAAGGCTGGTCTTGCACCTGTTAACCTATTTCCTGTTTGCCTGAGAATACTCTTGTCTCTCATCTTAATGTAACATCATATACATCTGTGTTACATTAGGATTAGAGACAAGTTCTGTTTAGAAATAACTACATGAAGTGTTTTTATATTTTATTTTCACATTGCAAATCAGTCAGATTTGCTTCAGCCTCAAACAGCATGTTTATGTAAATTAAATGAGCACTGGTAGCAAGCTGCACTTGTTTCATTTTTTTCTAAATGGGAAATAGGAAATGGGCTAAAAATATGGAGGACCATGGCCAGGCTGCCATTGGCTGAGGAAGCTGAAGCCATTGGGGGCATTTCCCATGGTGGCAGAAGGTGCCAGCACCCATGTTCATGGCATCTTGTCCTTTCCATGGCCCACAAGGACTTTTGTCAACAGGCTTTGCAATGAACAACAGTCCTTCTCTCAAAAACTTCACATTCTAGAGGGAGAAAATTGGGGAAGGACATATATATATACACATATATACATATATATATTACATATACACACACACACATATATATATATACACACATATACATATGTTCAACTCCATCAGCTAGTGGTGACCATTATCAAGAAAAACAAAAACAAAGGACAATAAGCAGAGAGAAAGTGATGGTAGAGATCACTTTTATATAGTGATCGTCAAGGGCCACTCTGACAAGGTGGCATTTGGGCTGAGACTGAATAAAGTGAGGTGGTCAAATGGATATCTGGGGGAAGGGCATCCCAGTGGAGGGACCTACTCGTGCAAAGGACCTGACGTAGGATTGCACCTGACATCTTCAGGCCACCCCTAGTAAGTGAGTGTGGTATGATCAAGATGAACATGAAGGAAATGAGGTCAGGTAGTGAAGGAGCTGGATTTCATAGGGTCTTGCAGACCTTGAGAAGGGCTTGGGGTTTTCTTCTGAGTTAGGTAAGAAGCCATGGTAGGGGTTGCACAGAGGGCAGCACAATCTGACCTCGGTTGTAGAATCAGCACAGACTGGCTGGGGTGTAGTGAATAGATCGAAGGGTGCTGAGAGGGAGATATTTGGGGGCGGGCAAAAGGTGATGGTAACTTGGGTAAGGTTAGTAATAGTAGAGGGGTTGGAGAGCATGCTTGGACTCAGAATTTGCTTTGTGTTGGATGTGAGGTGGGAGGGAAAAGCAGTTAAGGACAACTTCAGGATTTTTAGCCTGAGAAACTCTAGAAGTACTGCTAGCTATCTTTAATTGGAATGTGAAAGTCTAAGGGGAAGAAAGCTTATGGAGCAAGATCAGAACTTCGGTTATGGACAAGTTGATTTCAGATGCATATTAAACATCCAGTGGAGATACTGACTAGGCAGCTGATTACACAGGATTGGAGCATAGGAAGACATCTGGACCAGTGAGTTAACATTGGGAGTGTTCATCTTATAAGTTCATTGGACTAAATGAAATCGATGAGGCACTAAGCATTAATATTAAACAGATAAGAGAAAAATTCTGAGGACTTCTGAAGGATCCTGGAGACCTGCAGCATCCAGGGCTAAAGAAAGGATGAGAGTGTGTTTAAGGAAAAAAAAAAAAAAAACAACCCTGAGGAGGAGTAGCCTGTGAAAATACTATTCTGAAAGCACAGTGAAGAAATTGTGTCAAAGAGAAGGGAGTGGTCAAGTGTACCGAATACTTTTGACACATTGAGGAAAACGAGTATAGGGGTTGATGGAGAATTGAAGACTAGCATTGTCAACATGGAGGTCATCGGTCGGTGAACAATTAGTTTATTTTCTAAACTGGGACACTTTTAAGAGTGAAAGAGGATATGTACTAGTAATCTATTTCTGTACAACAAATTATCCCCAAAGCTCAGTGCTGTGTTAACACAGCAAACATTTATTACCTCCTACAGTTTAGATGGTCTAGAATTTAGAATTTGGTACAGGTTCTGGCTCAGCACCTCTCATGAGATGGCAGCCAGCTATTGGCTGGGACTGCAGTCATCTAAAGGCTTCACTGGGGCTGTGAGATCTGTTTCCAAGGTGACTCAGTCACATGGCTGGAAAGTTAGTACCAGTTGTTGGCAAGGGCTTCAGTGCCTCCCCACGCGGGCATCCCACAGACAGCTTGAGTATTCTAACAACATGGCAACTGTCTTCCCCCGGGTCAAGCAACCCGAGAGAGCAAGGCTGAAGTGGTTACTTATGTTGGCCCTACTCAATCTGGAAGGGGTCCCAGAAGAGTGTGAACAATTGGAGACTAGAGACTAGGATAATTAATTGAGGGCCATCTTCAAGGATAACTACAGCAGGGTTTATCCATATTTATGCTCAGGTAGCAGATATACACTGGGACCATCGCAGGCAAACTGAGATGCATGGTCACCCTAATCTTTGGTGACTTTGGGGAGTGTAGTGATAGAGATGAGAACCACATCAATGAAATCCAAGCCCAGATCTATTGCTCAATCACTCAATTAAAAAATAAGCTAATTTCTCATTTATTTCCACTAGACTTGAAGCAAGTGGAATGGTGAATGTGATGGATGCTCATTTTACCATTAACTTGCAGTCCAACAGGGTTAAGCAGAGTCGAGATGGAAATTTAGATTATATTTAATTAGATTTATTATCTAATAACATTGTTTTAGTACCTGGATCCGGCCAAGCCTAAAGCTCACATTAACTATAACAGTCATCACATTCTTCCCCCATCCTCCTTAAACATTTTAACTTAGACCTTTTTTTTTTTTTTGGAAATTTACAACCAAAGGAATCCAAATTAATGTCTCCCTTGTTTAAATAGATCCTTGTTGAACACCATCTACTAATCTCCCAGACACACCTAGGCGTGTCTGAGTGCAGGGTAAACATAGTTTAAACTCAATCTGGTCTCCCTGGTACACTAAGAAGGCTGTTCAGGTCATCTCCTTTAAGAACTTCAACTTGCACTAGCATCTTACCTAGTGATTATGATTAGAAGATGGATTTTATATGTAGGAGTATATATTGACATTGAGCTGATATCAGTATTTGAGCAATCCATAAAAGTCAATCTTCAAGATGGGCAATGACACAGGTACTTCTTTAGAAATATCTTTACTCTGAAACACTGAGGGATCTTCCTTAAATCATTCCAGTAGCAAAAGCCTTGCCCTGAAAAATGTTGTCAGCAGAATAGCTGGACCACCCATCTGGAACCAAGTTGAAGTTCATCTCTATAAAGGAAAAGAAAATATCTGTAAATTGCATGCTAGTTGCTTTCTCTTCTGTTACCTTCTAACTACCCTTCTAGTTCATGTTTCCTTTAGTCATCCCAAGAACAGAACTAGGTTTTCATACAGCCTCTCAGGATTTATTCTACTTATAGTATATCTATCTTGAATTGGAATGTGATTAAAACTCTATAGGTGTTAGGGACATAGAAGAAAGGTTAGAGGTGAATAGAAAAAGACAGCAGTGGCTGTAATCGGCCTGCGGGGCTCTCTCCTGCTGGAGGTTATCCCACGCTGAGGACTGGGGACTTGCAGCCATCTGGAGGTTACTGTAGATCAGTGCCTCTTTGGAATGCACATGTAGAGGCGGAACAGGACTGAGCTGCGCCTGTAGAAAATTGAATGTGTCCATTGATCCGCTAAGTCTGAATAAACTCTCATTCTTGTTAGCACAGCAATTAGTCCTCATGGTCACTGGAGCATTGAAACAAGGCAGTTTGGCCCACTTGTCTTGTTTTCCTGTATTCCCAAACATGAAACACGTCCAGATTGGGACAGAACAAACCTCCTTCACTTTCAATCACCACCCGCTTCAAATTAAGAAGTAGACTGAGAAGCGGCAACAGCATGGAGGTGACATTTAATCTCAAGATCTACCCACTGCTGTTGCTCAACATTAGCTTGGCCCTTTCAAAGAACACAAGCATGTTCTGGGCATCTACTTTTTTTATATACATAATCTCGCTTAATCCTCACAAGTGAGATTTATACAGCAGCCTCTCTTGCAGAAGCACAGTTCACGCAGAACATGTGCATGTGGCAGAAACATCGGCGATGGGCAAAATCTGCTAATGGATTGAACCTAGAGGAAAGAACCAGCAAAGCCAAGTCATGATTCTAGATCCACCACAAGATCATTTGTGCTCAGTTTCCCTTAAAATGCAATAGACAACATTAAGGTAAGTAGAGGATCAGTGTTATCATGTTCAATGTAGAACTCTGAGCTTCTTCATGGAAAGGTGTTTAAAAATGGACGGTATGACAGCAGTTGAGTAGTCCTTTCACACTCAGACTTACCCAGAGTGGGTGGGGAGAATAATGTGAATTGAGCCCACTGCTGTCTCTGTGCAGTTCAATGTTCCCAGATGGCATATTCAATTAGAGTTTATTTCATCATCTTAAAAGAAACTTATTGAGAAGTTATATTCTACACTCAACAAGGGAGAAAAGCATATCAAGATGCTAGCTCTAATATGCTGTTACTCTTCCATAGTTCATGGCATAGAACCTGCCATAACTTTCCCCAGCCACACTTAGAGAACAAGACAGTGTCATGTCCTCTTTTGAGTGTCAGTTTCTCCCCCTTAAGCAGGGTATCTCGGCCTTGTCACTATTGATATTTGGAGCTGGATAAATGTTTGTTGGGGCAGGGTGGCTGCCTTGTGCATTGAAGGACTGTTTAGCAGCATTCCTGGCCTCCACCTGCCAGATGCCAATAGCAGTAATGACAACCAGAAGTGTCTCCAAACATTGCCAACTGTCTCCTGGGAGTAAAATCACCTCTGGTTGAGAACCACAGCCTTACAAAATGCATAGCAACTGAACTACATTGCTTGTTTGAGTTAGGAGGTGTAGAGGGCTGACTGATCATTTATGCAATCATCCATTTTATAGATGAAGCCACTGAAGCCAAACAAATGTGGTGCCTTGCTTTAGGTAACACAGGTAAGTGGTACAGCTATCATTAGAAACCAGGCTTACTGACTACTCCCTGACTACCTTATCTAAGTCTTGGTAATGGAAAAAAAAAATCCTATTATCATCTACCTGATCAGCGCAGTCTGTTTGAAGAAAGCCCACTAAATCTAGATGGGTTAGATCTAGATTTAGTCGGCTAAAACCGCAATTACTTTTGCACCAACCCAATACATTAGGTGAACCTGTAGTTCTGGAATAGTCAATGGAATGTGTGGCAAATTAAAAGTAATGGCAAATTAAAAGTAATTAAAAGTAATGGCAAAAACTGCAATTACTTTTGCACCAACCCAATATTATTGGTCTAATCCAAGCTCCTCTGAGGTCATGCTGATTTAGGCAAAATAACCCTCTGTCAATTTTTTACCTCCGTCTCCTCAGCCCCACTCTTCTGTTCCCTCTAGTCCCTATAGAAGCTGTGCTATTTCTAGGACACACAGTCACTGAGTATGTTGCAAGATTGAACATCTTCAAATCCTCTAGTGAGCTCCACACCCTTACACAAGCCAACACATGGTTAAATGGTCATGAGTGCAGTTGGTCAGTCCCACCACTGTGCTTCCTTCTTCAGCTCACTTGATTTTCCTTTCTCTGCCCTTAGAGTCACCCATCCCCTTCCATGTACCAAATTCTCACTCACCTTCAACCAAAAAATCCTAGAATGGCCCCTACTGTCAGAAGATCCATGCCCTCCAAATCTGAATTGATCGTAGACACTTTAGCTGAAGATTCCTTTCTTCTTTAAGTATGTCCACCAAATTCTGGGCCTTGCCCAAGAATCAACAGGTAATGTCCTGAAAAAAAAGAAAGAAAGAAAAGAAGAAAGAAAGAAAGAAAGAAAGAAAGAAAGAAAGAAAGAAAGAAAGAAAGAAAGAAAAAAAGAAAGAAAGAAAGGAAGGAAGGGAGAGGGAGGAGGGAAGGAGGGAGGGAGGAAGGGAGGAAGGAAGATGTTTGAGTATGCAAATGTGGTGACATAGAAAGAAATGGCACACGGGGTATTTATTCAGGACATTTTGGGATATAAGATGTGACTATCAAGTAATGCAATGTATTTTCACTTAAGACTTATAGAACCAGGTCTCATTACTCTGTGGGAACTAGAGATTTCGGATACTGTCCCTGGGCTTGAAATTCCCTTATTCTTATCCTCTAAAACACAGGTCAGTTATTTGCAGAAATCTTCTCCAATCCTCTCTATCTCAGTTGGATATAAATGGCCCCAGACTAGGGCCTGATGGCATCATAACACATTGATTGTCCTTAGCACAGTCTATTCTTCTGAGTTGCAATTAGACACTCTCCAGGAGCAAATAAGAACAGTGAAACATGCATAGGGTATCCTGCTGTAATTACTCCAAATTTACAACAACATTTTAAAAGAATTTTATATAAATAATTATACTGCATAGAATTTCAGAATAATCAGTTCTCATAAATGACTTTAATTGCACTGTCAAATAAATGGCAACTTTTTTTTTTCTTTTGACTTAGCAAATTCTGTTTTCAGTTTTGGTGATGCTGACTTCTCAGACACCATGGAGAAATGCTTACCACATCTGGCATGGCACACAGGTGCTTACACACTATTTTTCAAATGTCAGTTCCTAGATTTCCCCTGTCCCACTTCCATGCCCTGCTGAGGATGAAGTTTCCTGTGCTTCACCCCTATCCACACATTCGATTGACCACCCCATTTACACCTCTGGGCTGAGAGGTCTTGGGCAGCTGCTACAGGAGGGCTGGGATCTGGGAAAGCATGAGTCCCACCCTCAAGGAGCTTATAGTCTGGTGAGGACAAAAGGCAGGTAAATCAGTAATAATAGTACACAGTAAAAAGTGGGCAGGAACCTACGGGGAAGGCTGCTAATCCCATCTTGGTGATTGCCCTCACCAAAGAGAAACCTTCCTAAAGAAAACAACATCTAACTCAAAATTTAAAGGTGAGTGGTCCAGGCAAAGTGAGGTGGAGGGAAAGTGTCCCATGTGGAAGTTTGAGGAACAGAGAATGTCAAGAAACCTCTCAGAGGACATCAAGTCTCTTCTGACACAACACCTTCCAAATATCAGCAACTGGCTTAAATGGCTTGTTCTTAGACAAGACTTTTGGACAAAATGATATCAGAGCAAGGAGAAAGTCCCCTGAACTGCCAAGACATCTCTCTGTCTATTCAGACTTGCCTGTAATTAACTGAGAGCACAAATATGCCATCCTATAGTTGGAAATAAAATGCCTCTGGAGAGGTCACTTCTTAAGGGTTAGAAGCTCTACACCAAATTATATAAATGGTGATGTCAGAGCTCTGGCTTCCCAAAGGCAATGATTCTTAAACATTAAAGGGCATAGGAATTACCTGGGAAGCCTATTTAAAAAGCAGGTTTGGATAGTTATACACCCACATACATAGCAACATTATTCACAATTGCCAGAAGTTAAAAACAACCCAAATATCTTTTGATACATAAATAGATAAGCAAAATGTGGTCTCGCCATAAAAATGGAATATTATTCCATCTTGGAAAGAAATCTTGTCAGATACTACAACATGGATGAAACCTGAGGACATGATGCTCAATGAAATAAGCCAATCACAAAAGGACAAATGCTGTTTGATTCTACTTACAGGAAGTACTGAGTAGTCAAATTCATAGCAACAAAAAGTAGAATGGTGGGTGCCAGGGGCTGGGGAGGGAGGAATGCAGGATTGTTGTTTAATGGGTATAGCATTTCACTTTGAAACAATGTAAAAGCCCTGGAGATGTGGTGATGGCTGCACAACCATGCGAACATGCTTAATGCCTCTGAACTGTACACTTAAAAATGATCAAGATGATAAATGTTATATGTATTTTACCACAATTAAAAACAATAATGAAAAAGAAAAAAAAGAAAAGCATGTTCCTGGGGTCTGCTGCCAGACAGTCCAATTCAACAGGCATATGCCAAGGAGGTACCAGAGAAAGGTAAAGTTCAACTTAAAGAAATAAAAAAAGATACATGATATGAATGGAAAAATCTCCAGTGAAATAGATAGCATAAATGAAAAACAATTACAACTTTTGGAAATGAAGGGTACACTAACAGAAATGCAAAAGGCACTGGAAAGTTTCAGCAATAGAATTGAACAAGTAGGAGAAAGAAATTCAGAGCTTGAAGGCAAGTCTTTTGAATTAACTCAATCCAACAAAGACAAAGAAAAAAGAACTGTAAGAAATGAACAAAGCCTGCAGGAAATTTGGGATTATGTTAAATGACCAAATTTAAGAATAATTGGTGTTCCTGAGGAAGAAGAAAAATCTGAAAGTTTGACAAACATATCTGAGGGAATAATCAAGGAAAATTTATCCAGCCTTGTTAGACATCTAGACATCCAAATACAAGAAGCTCAAAGAACACCTGGGAAATTCATCACGAAAAGATCATCACCATGGCACATACTCATCAGGTTATCTAAAGTCAAGATGAAGAAAATAATCTTAAGAGCTATGAGGCAAAAGCATCAGGTAACCTGTAAAGGAAAACCTGTTAGATTAACAGCGGATTTCTCAGCAGAAACCCTACAAGCTAGAAGGGATTGGAGTCCCTATCTTTAGCCTCCTTAAATAAAAGAATTATCAGCCAAGAATTTGGTATCCAATGAAACTAAGCTTCATAAATGAAGGAAAGATACAGTCTTTTTCAGACAATCAAATGCTGAGAGAATTCACCACTACCAAGCCAGCACTACAGGAACTGCTAAAAGGAGCTCTAAATCTTGAAACAAATCCTTGAAATAGAATCTCCTTATAGCATAATATCACAGGACCTATAAAACAATAACACAATGAAAAAAAATGCAAGGTATTCAGGCAACCACTAGCATGATGAACAGAATAGTACCTCACATCTCAATACTAATGCCGAATGTTAATGACCTAAATGCTTCACTTAAAATATACAGAATAGCAGAATGACTAAGAATTTCCCAACCAAGTATCTGTTGTTTTTGAGAGAGTCACCTGACACATAAGGACTCACATAAACTTAAGGCTAAGGGGTGGAAAAAGATATTCCATGCAAATGGACACCAAAAATGAGCAGGAGTAGCTACTCATATCAGACAAAACAAACTTTAAAGCAAGAGCAATTAAAAAGGACAAAGAGGGACATTATATAATGATAAAATGACTAGTCCAACAGGAAAATATCACAGTCCTAAATACATATGCAGCTAACACTGGAGCCTCCAAATTTATAAAACAATCACTACTAGACCTAAGGAATGAGATAGATGGCAACACAAGAGTAGTGGGGGACTTCAATACTCCACTGACAGCCCTAGACAGGTCATCAAGACAGAAAATCATCAAAGAAACAATGGACTTAAACTATACCCTAGAATAAACAAACTTAACAGATATTTACAGAAGATTCTACTCAACAACTACAGAATGTACATTCTATTCATCAGCACATGGAAATTCTCCAAAATAGACCATATGATAGGCCAGAAAACAAGTCTCAGCAAATTTAAGAAAACTGAAATGATGTCAAATACCCTCTCAGACCACAGTGGAATGAAATTGGAAATCAACTCCAAAAGGAACCCTCAAAACCATGAAAATACACGGAAATAAAATAAGCTCCTCCTGAATAATCATTGGGTTAACAATGAAATAAAGACGGAAATTTAAAAATTCTTTGAACTGAATGATAATAATGACATAACCTACCAAAACCTCCGTAATACAGCAAAAGCAGTGCTAAGAGGAAAGTTCACAGCATTACATGCCTACATCAAAAAGCCTAAGAGAGCACAAATAGACAATCTAAGGTCACACCTCAAGGAACTAGAGAAACAAGAACAAACCAAACCAAAACCCAGAAGAAGAAAAGAAATAACCAAAATCAGAATAGAACTAAATGAAATTGAAACAAAAAAAATTACAAAAGATAAATAAAACCAAAAGCTGGTTCTTTGAAAAGATATAAAATTGATTGACCACTAGTGAGATTAACCAAGGAAAGAAGAGAGAAGATCTAAATAAGCTCAATTAGAAACCAAACTGGAGACATTACAACCAATACCACAGAAATACAAAAGATCATTCAAGGGTACTACGAACACCTTTATGCACATAAACTAGAAAACCTAGAGAAGATGGATACATTCCTGGAAAGACACAACCCTCCTAAATTAAACCAGAAAGAAATAGAAACTCTGAATACACAAATAACAAGCAGTGAGATTGAAATAGTATTAATAATTAAAAAGTTACCAAAAAAAAAGTCCAGGACCCAATGGATTCACAGCTGAATTCTATCAGAATTCAAAGAAGAATTGGTATTAATCCTCTTGACACTGTTCCAAAAGAAAGAAAAAGAGGGAATCCTCCCTAAATCATTCTATGAAGTCAGTATCACCCTAATACCAAAACCAGGAAAGGGCATAACAAAAAAAGAAAACTACAGACCAATATCCCTGATGAACATAGATGCAAAAATCCTCAACAAAATACTAGCTAACTGAATCCAATAGCATATCAAAAAGATAATTAATCATGATCAAGTGGGTTTCATACCAGGGATGCAGAGATGGTTTAACATACACAAGTCAATAAATGCGATACACCACATAAACAGCATTAAAAACAAAAATCACATGATTATCTCAATAGATGCAGAAAAAACATGAGACAAAAACTAGCATCTCTTTGTGATTAAAACCCTCAGTCAAATTGGCATAGAAGGGACATAACTTAAGGTAATAAAGATCATCTCAGACAAACCCACAGCCAACATTATAATGAATGGAATAAAGTTGAAAGCACTCCCCTGAGAACCTTAACAAAACAAGGATTCCCACTTTCTCCATTTCTATTCAAGATACTACTGGAAGTCCTAGCCAGAGCAATCAGACAAGAAAAAGAGATAAAGGATATCCACATCAGTAAAGAGGAAGTTAAACTGTCACTGTTTGCTGATGACATGATTGTATACCTAGAAAACCCTAAAGATACATCCAAAAAGCTCCTAGAACTGGTAAATGAATTCAGCATACAGTTTCAGGATACAAAATTAATGTACATGAATCAGTAGTTCTGCTATACACCAAGAGTGACCAAGCTGAGAATCAAATCAAGAACTCAACGCCTTTTACAATAACTGTAAAAAAAATAAAATACTTAGGAATACACCTAACCAAGGAGGTGAAAGATCTCTGCAAGGAAAACTACAAAGCACTGCTGAAAGAAATAATAGACGACACAAACAAATGGAAATACATCCCATGATCATGGATGGGTAGAATCAATATCGTAAAAATGACCATACTGCCAAAAGCAATCTATAAATTCAATGCAATTCCCATCAAAATACCACCATCATTCTTCACAGAACTAGAAAAAATAATCCTAAAATTCATATGGTGCCAAAAAAAGAGCCTGTATAGCCAAAGAAAGACTACGCAAAAAGAACAAATCTGGAGGCATCACATTACCCAACTTCAAACTATACTATAAGGCCATGGTCACCAAAACAGCATGGTACTGGTTTAAAAATAGGCATATAGACAAATGGAACAGAATAGAGAACCTAGAAATAAACCCAAATATTTACAGCCAACTGATATTTGATAAAGCAAACAAAAACATAAAGTGGGGAAAGGTCGCCCTATTCAACAAATGATGCTGGGATAATTGGCAAGCCACATGTAGAAGAATGAAACTGGATCCTCATCTCTCAACTTAAACAAAAATCAACTCAAGATGGATCAAGGACTTAAATCTAAGACCTGAAACCATAAAAATCCCAGAAGATAACATTGGAAAAACACTTCTAGACATTGGTTTATGCAAAGACTTTATGACCAAGAGCTCAAAACAGAAACAAAGATAAATAGATGGGACTGAATTAAACTAAAAAGCTTTTGCACAGCAAAAGACATAATCAGCACAGTAAACAGACAACCCACGGAGTGGAAAAAATCTTTACAATCTATGCTTCCAACAGACTAATATCCAGAATCTACAAGGAACTCAAACAAATCAGCAAGAAAAAAACAATCCCTTCAGAAATTGGGCCAAGGATATGAATAGAAAATTCTCAAAAGAAGATACACAAATGGCCAACAAACATATGAAAAAATGCTCAACATGACTAATTATCAGGGAAATGCAAGTCAAAACCACAGTGCGATATCATCTTACTCCTGCAAGAATGGTCATAATCAAAAAATCAAAAAATAGTAGATGTTGCCATGGATGTGGTGAAAAGGGAACAGTTTTACAATGTTGGTGGGAATGTAAACTAGTACAACTACTATGGAAAACAGTGTGGAGAGTCCTTAAATAACTACAAGTAGACCTATCATTTGATCCAGCAATCCTACTACTGGGTATCTGCCCAGAGGACAGAATTCATTACATGAAAAACATACTTGCACATGCATGTTTATAGCAGCACAATTCACAATTGCAAAAATATGGAACTAGCCCAAAATGCCCACCAATCAATGAGTGGATAAAGAAAATGTGATATATATGGTATGTGTGTGTACTCAACATGGAATACTACTCAACCGTAAGAAGGAACAAAATAATGGCATTCGCAGCAACCTGGATGGAATTAGAGACTATTATTCTAAGTGAAGTAGCTCAGGAATGGAAAACCAAACATCGTATGTTCGCACTTAAAAGTGGGAGTTAAACTATGAGGATGCAAATGCATAAGAATGATACAACGGACTTCCAGGACTCAAGGGGAAAGGGTAGGAGGTGGGTGAGGGATAAAAGACTACAAATATGGTACAGTGTACACTGCTTGGGTGATGGGTGCACCAAAATCTCGGAAATCACTGCTAAATAACGTACTCATATACAAAAAATAAATTTAAAAAATTTACCCCCCCCCCCCCCGCAAAATACACAAAATAATGGGCATATGTGTGAGGGTCTCACCAGTAGACAGAATTCATTTCAGGTGCCTCAAATGAAGGTACTAAGAGGAGGGATTCCTCACTTAGATGAGGACAGGTTTGAGAAGACCAGCAGGAATGCTGAAGCACCCAGAAACCAATGGCAGCAGAAAGGTAGAACTGCTCCTAGGGCTGAAGAGGCAAAGGATGGAGATTGTGGTACCCAAGCCCAGTGAGCACTGGAGCTCTGATGAAGCCAGTCCAAGTGGAGGGGCCATGCAGCAGGAGCAGGGGTGTGAGGACCAAGCAGGGAGGGAACCGGAAGAAGCATGCCGACCCCTCTCGCCTCCTGTTCTCTGGTCTCCCCTTAGGGCCACCATTCACTGAGGCCAACAGAACTAGACAGGCAAGGAGCCAGGGATGCAGTTAATCAAGGTCAACCTCCCAGAGCATAGAGCTGGGATAGGGGAGCAAAATAACTAGCAGGGTAGTTATTGGGGGTGGGGGAGCTCTGAAATCAGCATTAAAAATAAATCCTCAAGAAATCCTTTTGCAGTGACCCCTCCACCACCACCACCACCACCACCACCACCACTGCCCCCCTCCCCACCCACCCCGCCGCTGCCCAGACACATCTTGAAGACACTGTCTTGGGGGAAGGAGCCAGAAAGCCTGAAAGCCCCGGGCAGCCAGGAGTGGAGACAAAGGTGGAAATGGAGTAGACGGAGTTGATAGAAGGGATGCCAAACACGATGTCACAACTGTGATCCACAGAGTGGTGCTATTTCTCCCCTTCAGTTCCCACACAGAATCTGTATATAGGACGACACCTTTGCATACTGCATCACTTCAGCAGGCTCTGAACTGCAAAGCATGTAACTATGGTTTCTGTGGACAAGCAAGCACCTGAAATAGATTTATGTGTCTGGGAAAGTAAACAATCTCTCCTTTGCAGACCCAAATGTGACATGGAGTATACTAAAACCATAAGCACACACTCTGGTTCCTTTACAGATGGTATAAATCTTTCGCCTTGGCCGGGCGCGGTGGCTCACGCCTGTAATCCCAGCACTTTGGGAGGCCGAGGCGGGTGGATCACGAGGTCAGGAGATCGAGACCATCCTGGCTAACACGGTGAAACCCCGTCTCTACTAAATATACAAAAAATTAGCTGGTCGTGGTGGCGGGCGCCTGTAGTCCCAGATACGCGGGAGGCTGAGGCAGGAGAATGGCGTGAACCCAGCGGGCGGAGCTTGCAGTGAGCCGAGATCACGCCACTGTGCTCCAGCCTGGGCGACAGAGCGAGACTCCGTCTCAAAAAAAAAAAAAAAAAAAAAAAATCTTTCGCCTTTTACTAAAACCATGAGCATCATTATTCTAAACACTATGTCCACTTTCAGGTAATCACTCAGATTAAGTCATAAGTCTGCATATTTCTGAGAAAGGTGCAACAAAAAGCAACTTTGTAATGTGTACAAATTACACAAATACGTTGTTAACCTTGGGCAAGCAAGAAGTAGCTAATTTAATAAATCGTAAGTTCTGTGAAGTTTGAGGTTTTTAACACGCAATAGGCATAAATTACACAATCACAGGATTCATTCTTCTTTTTTTTTTCCGAGACGGAGTCTTACTCTTGTCACCCAGGCTGGAGTGCAGTGGCACAATCTTGGCTTCCTGCAACCTCCACCTCCCAGGCTCAAGCAATTCTCGTGCCTCAGCCTCCTGAGTAGCTGGGATTACAGGCTTGTGCCACCATGCCCAGCTCATTTTTTTTTTTAGTAGAGACGGGGTTTCACCATGTTGGCCAGCCTGGTCTCAAACTCCTGACCTCAAGTGATCCACTTTGGCCTCCCAAAGTGCTGGGATTACAGGCATGAGCCACCGCACCCGGCCAGGATTTATTCTTATTTACTCATTTATTTAACTAACATTTACTGAACTCCTGTAATATGCCAGGAGCTAATCTAGCTGCTGAACAAAACAGGAAAGACCTGGGCCTTGGTGGAACTGAAATAGCTGAAGCTGGGGCAAATTACACTCTGGCTTCCTTTCTACCACATCACAGGTTTTTGGAGTTTAGAAAGACTGAATTGCCCTTTGCAGAACTTTATTGAAAATGCTGATGTCTTCCTAAGAGCAGGTGTATGGAGTAAAATTCTAGGCTGTGTCTCATAGACTCTGCCTGCCAAAGCTTGGCATGCCTCTCTTCCTCCCGCCCTCCCTCCCTCTCTCTCCCTTCTCCCGTCCTTCCTCCTTTCCTCCCTCCCTCCTTTCCTGTCATCCTTCCACCCTTCCTTTTCTTCTCTTTCTTTCTCTCTTTTTTCTCTTATCTGCTCTCTTTCTTTTTTATCCCCCAATCACACCCAAACTGTTATACTAGTTCTGTTCTGGAGTACAACCTTCAACAAAGCAAAACAAAACAAAAACACCCAAGGGTTTTATTTATTTATTTATTTAATTTTTTGAGATGGAGTTTTGCTCTTTTTGCCCAGTCTGGAGTGCAGTGGCACAATCTTGGCTCACTGCAACCTCCACCTCCCAGGTTCAAGCAATTCTCCTGCCTCAGCCTCCCGAGTAGTTGGGATTACAGGCATGCACCACCACACTTAGCTAATTTTTGTATTTTTAGTACAGACAGGGTTTCGCCGTGTTGGCCAGGCTGGTCTCGGACTCCTGACCTCAGGTGATCCGCCCGCTTGGCCTTCCAAAGTGCTGGGATTACAGATGTAAGCCACTGCTCCTGGCCTCAAGGGTCTTTTAGATTGAAGTAAAAAAAAAAAATTGGAATTTGTTAAATTGGTAGCCTACTTTGTGTTCCTATAAGCAAACAGAAAGTACTTCTCCCAAGGCACTGCCATACCACTATTTGACCATATTTTATTTATCAGTGACTCTCCAGGTCTAACCAGGGTGACCAACTTATCCTGGTTTTAACACTAACTCTTCAATCTCCTGGAAGCCAAGACAGTCAGTCACCCTTCCTGTAACACAATAATACCTAGCAGATTCTTTATACACACTTTCTATATGAATAAAGAAATACCCTCATAAAAATATGCAATACTCATCCACACACTTCATTGATTCAATTTTCTATAAGATGTTTTCTCATGTAAAAACAGAAAAAGGAGACTTTCATACACAAGGCTATTTCCAATTATAACCATTAAAAATCAAATGTTTTAGGTTTGAACGTTAAAATATTTAAAATCTCATATAAACTCAGTATGCAATATGTTTATTTTAGTATTCTTAGAGAAAAATGTCAGAGTATTTATTCTTGTTATACTCTGTAACTTTCATTCTGCCAAATGTAGGTGGGGTGAGCAAATAGATTTTTGAAAATAGATTCTGAAAACCAGATTTAAAAAAATCTAATGGTTTCAGGCAGTCATAAACTTGGGATTATGGCTTTCTGCAGGGCAGAAGTAATGAGGCGTGAATAAATATTGTTGATCTCACTTCCTCCCTCTGTAAATGACCAACAAGAGCCATGTTGTACATGTAACGCCACTGACTCACAGGCAGAGGAACCCAAACAACTTCATTTGTGCTTCATAGTTGAAGACAGCCCCTGTTGCGTGACCTCAGGCTAAATAAGCCATCACAGGTCCAGAGACAATTCTTCCTGCAGACACACTTCCCAGCCCAGCTCATCAGGAGACGCTAGCTCAGGCACAGTCTCTCCCACTCGAAAGCTTTATTAGCCATTATCCTTCGTGACTTCAAGGTGAGATCTCAACACACAGTAAAAACTGCTCATTTTCCATTGCTTCTCACCTAACAGGCAAATCTATTTCCCTTATAGGACAGGAATTACAAGTGTAAATGCCACCTACACAGCTATTTCACTGCAGGGGCCACCCCACCAAAAAGAGAGTATCTTAGCCATGGGATATGCTTTTCTGTGGTTTAAACCAAGTTTAAGTAAGAACGGGTCACAGTTTTATTTTCCTTCCTCCCTCCTCCTCTCCCTCCATTCTTTCATTCTTTCTTCCTTCCTTCTCTTTCTTTCTTTCTTCTCCTTCCTTCCTTTCTTTTTTCCTTTTCTTCCTCATGAGACTGCAGAAAAAACTTATAAAATACTAATCAACAGTTTGCAAGACTAACGTTCCTTAGAAAACAGCTTAGGAAGTACTGCTGTGAACATCGAATGGAGATTAATGATCTACCCTGTCCTCCTCATTTCAGCAGAATGTTCTGAACCTATGTTCTCACCTTTACTCCTTAATGGAGAGCTGCATGGGGGAAGTGCATCGGTTTCAGGCCCAACTTGGTCGCCAAACCACTGCTGGGTGTCATCTCTTCACCTCTACAATGGGAGTTTGGAATGAGGCATTCTTCAATGTTCCTTCAGTTCTAATCATGTTCTACATTAATTGGTACACATGCATGCACACACACACTCCAATGTAACCACATATAAAGGCATGGACAAAGTTGTTTCCCTCATCTCTCAAAACACTGTTGAAGTTCCAACCCCCAGTACCTCAGAATGTGACTTTATTTGGAGATAGGGCCTTAAATAGGTGATTAACTTAAAATGAGGCCATTAAAGTAGGGCTCTAATGGATTATGACTGGTGTCTATTTTTAAGAGGAGGAAAAGACACAAGGGATGCATGTGAAGAGAGAGAAGGGCATGTGAGGACACAAGGAAAAAGGACACCGTCTGCAAGCCAAGGAGAGAGCCCTCGGAAGGAACCCACCCTGACAACACCTTGACCTTGGACTTCCAGCTTCCAGAACTGTGAGAAATACATTTATGTTGTTTAAGCTGCCCAGTCTGGTATTTTGTGTGTTGCAAATATGTCCCCTTTCTATCAAGGAAGATCTGCATTGATGCTCTGATCCCAAATGTATGTGCAACATGAGAGAAACTGAAGATTTGTCTGGAAGACCCAGACTTGGATCCAAATGGTGCAGTTGGAATAACTTCCTTCAGGAAGATAATCCATACTGATGTGGTTTATGGCTGACCTTTAACCACAACCTCATGGCATGTCTTCGTTCTCTTGAAACCTGCAGCAGAACAAGCCTCATGCTGGAAAAGCCATGGCTGACATGGGCTTCTCCCCTTTGCTAAGATTCACGAAGACCCAGAAAATTCTACAAGTATTTACTGAGCACTCATCATGCACTGGGAGTGGTGCAAGACACAAGATAAATAAAACTGGGGCCTCCTGCCCCTGGAGAACTTACAAGTGAAGGATGATGGACATACAAGCAGCTCCACTAAGCCAGATGGTGTTTTGCTCAAGAAACTAAATGCTATGGAAGTTTTATCTGTGAGGAATTATATTTCATTACGAATAAAAGAAGTCCTAGGGAAAAGTGGCTCAAACAAGTAAGGACTTTATTTTTCCTATACAACTAGAATTCCAGAAGTTCATGGTTGCTGGTGTTGCTTCAAGGCTTCAAAGATGTTAGGGTCAAGGTCTTTGCAACAACTGTTTTCCCCCAGCTTTATTAAGATGTAATTGACCAATAAAAATTGTATACATTGACAGTATACAATGTGAGATCTCCACCTATGCATACACAGTGAAATGGTTAAATCAAGGTGTTTAACATCTCCATCACCTCCATACTTATTTTTATGTGGTGAGGACATTTAGCATCTGCAACAATCTTGATGGTCCCTTGTAGTTTCAAAGTGGTTACTCTAGCCACTGTGTCACATTGTGTTTTAAGGAGATAAAAGAAGGAAGGAGGAAAAGAGCAAAAGGCAGACCAATGCCAGCTGCATCTGCAGCCCATTTTAGAGGCTTTCTCCTTGAATCCCACCCACCTACTTCCATTAACATCTCACTGGCCAGACCAGTGCTCCATAACCTCTGGGCCTAGAGAGAGGCTGAGAAATGCATTTTTTTTTCACCTAGGCACTTTGCTGCTCATCCCTCCAACAAGAATGAGAAGGAGAAGTAGAGGGAGAATAGATTTGGGGTAGGCAAAACAAACAGAGAGCAAGGAGAGGTGTGTTCATCTGCAATGGCTCATTCCATGTTGTTAGAGGATGTGAGGTGTGAGCTGAGTCCAGAGGCAAGCAGTGTGGAAAGAGCAGTCTATGCAGAGGGGTCATCACCGCAAAGACAGAAGGTTCAAGACCACAGATCACATAAGAACCTCCGAGGCTAGGGCTTAGCATGTATGGGCAGTGAGAGAAAGTACCAGAAGATCAGTTAGAACATGCAGATGGGGGCTAACTGGTGAGTTTACTAGTTTCCTAGCGCTGCCATAACAAATACCATAGCCTGGGTGCCTTAAATACCAGATTGATTTCCTCACAGTTCTGCAGGCTAGAACTCCAAAGTCAAGGTGTCAGCAGGGTTGCTTTCTCCTGAGGCCTCTCCCCTTGGCTTGCACGAAGCTGTCTATCACTGCATCCTCACATGGTCACAGATGTATGCACACATCTCTCTGCATGTCCAAGTTTCCTCTTCTTATAAGGATACCAGCGACATTGGATCAGGGTCCACCCTAATGGCCTCAGTGTAACTTAATCACCATTTTAAAGGTCCTATCTTCAAATATGGTTGCATTCTGAGGTATTGGGGGTTAGGCCTTCGACACAGGAATTTGGGGGTGGGAGGGCAAGACATGACCAGAATTCAACCCATAACAGGGAGAATCTTAAAATCTAGGCCAAGGAGTTTGTGTTTTGTTCTGTATGCAAGAGGAAGACAGCAGACGTTCTGAGCGGGGAGAAACATTATTAGAGTTATTATTTTTTAGCAGGCTAGTCCTTTGTTCCCATTGTGTAGGATGCATTAGCAGCACGGAAACCCAAGGGAAACCATGGCTTTAGTGAGGGCAAGAGGGAATGATGATCTGAATTAGGGCAGTAGCAACAGAAATGCAAATAGGAAATGCAGTAGGAGATAAATCCAAGAGACACTGTGGGGGTAGAATAACCAGGATTTGCTGACTAATTTGATATCATGGTGCACATGAGGGAGGAGTTGGAGGCAATGCTGAGGTTCCTGAGGCCAGGCAGTGGAGTGTGTGGGGGTGGTATTCACTGACATGCTGTGAAGTAGAGGAGGCCAAGTTCAGTTTAGGACATGACCATGCTTATAAGATGTGCATATGACACTAGGATGGAGCGATCAAAAAAGCAGCTGAAAATGTGGGTCCAGAGCTTGGGCATCACCAAAAGCCTTATTTTAAACAACAGGTTGGCCTAAGCAAACTTTTGAGTAGGAAAATTTGTCCCTGATGTCTTTCCACCCCCTGTCACATTCTCTCTGCTATCCTTGGGTCCTAGGCCCACATGCTCTCAAACTGCCCTTCCTCCTCCTCCTGAATGCAAACGCCCCTGCACTCCATCAAGCTCCAAGTGTTCCTAGTCACGGAGAAGGAAGAGAGAATGATAATCTCCCGAAGGAAAGCCTGGTGCTTTTCAGGCAGTGTCAGGGGGAAGAGAGGAATCTCAGCCTGAGGCTGGGAGGCATTTTCACAGTCAATGTCTTTTCCTGCTGCTCCTGAAATCACGCTATGCCACTCAGCCTTCTCAGAGGACTCTGAACCCAGAAATCAGACTTTGACCATCTGCTTTTGGCTGCTTCTGAGAAAAAAGGCCTTAAACCTTCAGATATGTACTTGAAAATAAAGAATGCATACCATGGATTTGTGTGTGTCAAATGGGTTTGGTTCATATTTATAAACTTGACTTTCCTGAAGCAATAGATTGCCAAGCAGCCCTGTGCCCTGGGGAAAGATCACTGATGCAACCATGCCTCTAACAACATTTAATCTGAGTTACCTTTCTGTTTGCAGCCGAAGAATTCTCTAGAATGGCTTTCTTATTAGGATTAGGCATGGGTCAATGTCTGTCAAATTTTAGGTGGCACTAAAACTCCGTAAGAAAATGGATACCTTTCCATTTCAAGCATGCCAAGCCCTGGTCTTTGGTGAAGAAATAGACACATTCTCACCCAAATACAAATTCTGTTTCCCACGCACCTTCTCTGGGCTGTATTTCCTTTGGGTAGTGTGGCGCGGATCAGCCCTTGGGCTGCCTCCCAATTCTGGAATCTATTATTGCAGCAGAAAGGCCAGACTGCAGCTTCTTCGAGTTTTCTCATCGTTCTCACCCTGCCTCAAGAATATAGGTCATGGCATTTGTGGATGCACCTGTGGGACACAGTCACCTATATTCTCCTGTGGGCGCCCCCAAGGGATGGGCTTAGTTGAGATCTGTTGTCCCTGTGCAGGAACCAGCTCTGAGCTTGGGCAGAGAGATATGTCTTACACAGAGAAGAAGGGAGAGGAGAAGCAGTAAAAGAGAACAAGGCTGGAGTCAGCTGAGGGAGACTCAGTATAATTGATTGTTGCTGCCCAGGGCCTCTTTGGCCTTCACCCCCTGGGAGGAAAAGGTGTTATGCACCCCTCAGGTGCACAGGGCAACCCAGATGCAACCCTGAGGACTATGAAGAAGGAGACAGATGTAGCTCTGCACCTGTTTCTTTTTCTCTCACAAACCGCATTTCTGACATTCTTCACCCCACAGCCAATGGGAGTGATGGCTCCTTTTATCACTTGCAGTCTGACCTGCTGGCTGAGGATCTGAACTTGCAAGCTCATTTCTTTTCAGCTGTGGGTTGTTTGCAGTGAAACGATACCAACTGCCCGCTGAATTTCGGGTGGTCGTCGGCCACGGGGCTTTCAGGATGCTCCCCCTAGCCAGCCAGCTCAGAGTCTCAGTCCCCTTTTTGCTGACTTCAAATAATGTTCTAGCAGCTTGGAATCATTGCTTTCCCCCTTTCTGTTCAGGTTTGGGTGAGGCATTTATGTGTAGACAGCCCGACCCCTATTAGTTAGAATGAGAAAATACTAGGGCTGTGAAGCTCAGATTTGATGCTAAATTAATTCACCAAGTTCTTGCTTTTCTTATGGATAACACGATTCTGGAAAAAAAGATCATTGCATTCTCAACGTCTGCTCTGTCCAATACAGGAGCAACTAGCCTCATGTAACAATTTAAATTTGAATTAATTAAAATTACATAAAATTAAAATTCAATTCTTCAGTCACACTGGCCACATTTCAAGTACCCAATGGCCACATGTGGCTAGCTAGCAGCTACCATGTTGAAGAAGCAGACGTAGAACATTTCATCTTCACAGAAAGTTCTATCAGACAGCACTGATCCAACAATTCCATTTCTGACCTTTGACTATGAAATGCAACTGCTTCTTGGCCCTATGACCCTTATACCAAACACTTGGATTTTGTCTGATAACAACAGATCACTGGTGGCAGGATACGTTTAATGTTCATTATTGTTATATTGCTGTTATCATGATGATTTATAATTATAGAATACCTGCCAGGTTTTTAACTAATTTCTTTCCTTATTGTTTCATGGATCTGATTTGCTAGTGTGAATTAATAGCATTTATGGAATTTCCAAGGTTACTCTCCTTCTCCAACAGCATCCCCGTTGCTGACATTGATTCATTTATTCTTCGTGCATTCACTAGATGCTTCTGAAGGGTGTGTTCCCCACGCTTAGATGGGGGTGACATTTGTGAATTCACCTGTGGGACACAGTCACCTATACTGTCGTGTGAAGTACAGACACTGTAACATTCTATTTCAGAGCTGGGGCTCTGGTGTCCACTATGCAGCTTTGCCACTTTCTATCTGTGTCCTTCATTTTCTTATCTGTAAAATAAGGATAATAAACATATGGAGCTCTAGAGATTATGAAGATTAAATGAGCTAAAACATGCACAGTTCTTACACAGAAGGTGTTGTCTACTAGATAGTCTAACATGTTATTTTAATAATCAGCCTGTTCATTTTCATTATTGTTGATATGGGTTGATATTTTAAGTCCAATTCTTTTCTGGCCAATCATTCTACAAAAGAAATGAGGATCCAGAACGGGGATTGTGGTTAGTGTGAATATGTAGCTTCTTCCCAGAACAACCATTTCGACAGTTCCTGCAGCGTGGTGAAATTTCCTGTTCTTTGTTTTGCTGCTTTCTCTCCATGGATAAAAACTATGAGTAAGCTGAATAGTGGTAGCAAGCAAGCAAATAAGAAATTAGATTCTGAAAATGCTTGTTCTTCTTTTACAGAAGAACAGAATCTGTTTTCAGTGCCTGGAGCGGAGCTTATTTATTTATATATATATTTATTTATTTATTTTTCTAAAGAACAGAGCCTGTTCTAGAATACCCACTCAGCATGGCATTCACATCTTTTCTGAGTGACTTCATTGGAAGAAGAATAAAATCAATAATGAAAAATAACATCATCTTTGTTTCCTGAGAGCACTTGAATTTAGTAGAAATTGAAGGAATTCAAAGCACTTAAAGAATTAGATTATTTCTTGAACCTACATCATCTATGGCAGGAAGTCAGTGTGAGCAGGAAGCGTTTACATTTAGGAAATGCTTTGGTGCATCAAGGTCACCTTCACTTCTACAGCCTGGCTTCTGCTCCACCTGTCTGGGTGAAGTGACTCTTTCTGTGACTTTCCCAGGAGCCACACAGTTCGTTCTCCCTGTTTGACATTGCTAACCCCCTTAATCTTCCTTGAAAATTTATTTCCAATATTCACTGCTTTGTTTCTGGGCCTGGCTTGTAGAAGTATCTACATTGAAGAGGCTTTCCTATTGAAATGTAATAGTGTCTCAGATAAAGACCTTGATGGCATGATATTTACATTTTTGGATACTGTGAAGCTGAGAAAATTACCTACAGTGATAGCTTACACAATGAAGACAATAAGAATCAGCAGATTGGAACAATGGATCAACTGCAAAATCTTCATCTTTGGTGTCTCTGAAACAACACCCAGATTGAGGATAGGGAAAAAGAGAACTGTGTTACAAGCAACGTAAGATGTCTTCTGTTTTTTGATAATAGCCACCCTGAGAGGTATGAGGTGATATCTTGTGGTTTTGATTTACATTTCTCTGATGATTAGTGAATTAATTTTTTTTTTTTTTTTGAGATGGAGTCTCGCTCTGTCACCCAGGCTGGAGTGTGATGGTGCAATATCTCAGATCACTACAACCTCTGCCTCTGGGGTTCAAGCGATTCTCCTGCCTCAGACTCCTGAGTAGCTGGGATTACAGGTGCCTGCCACCACGCCCGGCTTATTTTTGTATTTTTAGTAGAGACAGGGTTTTGCTAAGTTGGCCAGGCTGGTCTCCAACTCCTGACTTCAGGTGATCCTCCCCCCTCAGCCCCACAAAGTGCTGGGATTACAGGGGTGAGCCACTGGGCCCGGCCAAGCATTTTTTCATATAGCTGTTGGCATTCTTATGTCTTCTTTGGAGAAATGTCTATTCAAGTCCTTGGCCCATTTTGTAATCAAATTGTTCATTTATTTTTACCATTGTGTTGTAGGAGTTCCTTATATATTTTGGATATTAACTACTTTTCAGACATATGACTTGCAAATATTTTCTTACATTTTGTAGGTTGTTTTTTTCACTCTGTTGATTGTTTTCTTTGCTGTGCAGAAGCTTTTTAGTTTGATGTAGTCCCACTTACTTATTTTTGTTTCTGTTGCCTGTGCTTTTGGTGTCATATCCATGAAGTCACTGCCAAGATCAACGTCATAGAGCTTTTCTCCTGTTTTTTTTTCTTAGGAGTTTTACAGTTTTGGGTCATACATTTAAGTCATTGATCCATTTTGAGTTCATTTTTGTGTATGACATAAGATAAGGGTCCAATTTCATTCTTTCGAATGTGGGTATTGTTTTCCCAACACCATTTGTTGAAGAGACAAAAGACAAGTGTTGGCGAGGATGTGAAAAAACTGTAATCCTTGCACATTGCTAGCGAGAATGCAAAATGGTGCAGCTGCTATATAGAAAACAGTATGAAGGTTCCTCAAAAAATTAAAAATAGAGCCACCATATGATCCAGCAATCCCACTTTTGGGTATTTATCCAAAAAAGTTGAACTCAGGATCTTGAAGAGATAATAGCATTGCAGCAGTATTCACAATAGCCAAGATGTGGAAACAACCTAAATGTCCACCAAGAGATGAATGGAAAAAGAAAATGTGATACACACATACAGTGGAATACTATTGCTTTTACAAAGAAGGAAATTCTGCAATACGTAACAACGTGGATGAACCTTGAGGATATTATGCTAAGTTAAAAAAGTCAGACACAGAATGACAAATATTGCATGATCCCATTTACATAAGATATTTAAAAATGGTCACAGAATCAAAGAGTGAAATGGTGGTCGCCAGAGGCCAAGGGAAAGCAGAAATTGAGTTACTAGTCAATGGGCACACAATTCTAGTCAAGAAAGATGAGTAAGTTCTAGAAAACTACAGTACAGCATTTTACTTACAGCCAACAAAATAACATGTTATAGACTTTAAAATGTAAGAGAGTAGATTTCCTGTTAAGTGTTCTTATCACAACAAAATAAAATAGAACAATGCAAGATGTAATAAGTTTAATAAGGAAAATTATGTCAATGAAGTTGGGGCATGTTAAGAGGAGTCTGGGTTGTAAAACAAGGGAGTCTAACTCTTCTCATTGATTCAAGAGATAATGATTGATTTAATGGCCATATAGCATCTGGTGGAGTGCATGAGTGGCACATGCTATGTGAGCAATGCAAAGCAGTCATCTTTCTTTCTTTGCTGGCCAGACCAGAGCCAGAGCTTGTTGAACTCTTCTGGGGTATGCACTTTAAGATGGGCATTGGCATAGAGAGCTCTGAGAGGGAAATGGCCCATAACAAGGAGATGGAAATCCACGTCATGCTGTGTGTGGATGCAGTTAATTAAGGGCAGGGGTAGCGCATGGTGTCAGTCCTCACATCTCTGAGGGCTGTCAGAGGGTGTTCTGATTTAGTGCCTCCCCAGAATAGGAAAGACTGTTGTCCACCCTGGAGGGGCCAGCCCAGAGCTGGGCTACCACTGCACTGTAATATTAAGGTGGAAATGAGTAGACTCTCTTCCATGCCTCAGATGTCCTGTATTTTTCAGTAAGTTTTGACTATATGTTCCATGAGGGCAGGAAGTGTGACTGTCTTTTGCACCCTTAATTCCCATATCGAACAGTGCACCTGGCACATAATAAGCACTCAGATTACATGTGGAGTTGAATTGAAGGTTCTTTCTCTCCATAAAGGTGTGTGTTCCCCACGGCTGAGCACTAGCCCATCTGAGCATCTCTCTCTCTCCTCTCTCTGATACCTCATTCACTCCCACGATTTCAACCCTCACTTCTCTATGGAGAAGGGACCCCTGAGTCTATGCTTCTTGCTAGGCCCACATTTCCCAATTCCCTGCTGAATTATTTCCAACTGGAAATTTTATTCTCTGTTATTTGCAGAATTGCTAAGTTCAAACTCCTCATGGTACTCACCAGAAAAGCCTTCTCTCCAATTTCCCTGCTTCAGTACTAATACACACATTTCTGCAGCCATCCATTTCTCAATGACAGCACATCAGCAGGCACTCAAGGTTCTGAAGAAGACATGCAGAGTGTAGCTTGTGATTGGTCAAAATGAGACTGACAGAAGCTGATCACCGAGGCATGAGCCTGGCATACCAGCCATTACAGGTGAGGGAGAGGCTCATTTTGGTCAAGTATACATTTTTTTATATATGTATATTTTTTATTATACTTTAAGTTCTAGGGTACATGTGAACAACACGCAGGTTTGTTACATATGTATAAATTTTTATGTCCACTTAATAAGTAAATTCATAATTATCACCTTCTCATCAATAACAAAGAAATGAAAGAATGCAAGGTAGTTCTATTCAATGTGGGCGTGTTTCCTCCAATCATGAAGACACTCTTAAACCCCAGCTTAGCCATCATTGTTGAAGAGTTTAGCGTGCTGCCTAAATAGACTAGATGCTTAATACTTATTTGTTGAATGAATAGAAATAAATCTATTTTCAGGGAATAAAACAACATCAGAAATCTAATCCTATTTCTCTTCTGGCATAGGACTACAGCTATTGAGCACTTGAAATCTGGCTAGTCTGAGTTGAGATGTACTCTAAATATAAAAGCAGCACTGGATTTCAGTCCTAGGATGTAGAATATTTTATTAGTAATTTTATATTGAATATTGATTATATGTTGAAACAATCATATTTTGGGTGTATTGAATTAAATAAAATACATTATTAAAGTTAACTTCACTTGTTTCTTTTTACTTTTTAAATATGACTTGTAGAGATTTTAAAATTATATGCCCAGCTTATATGCTATTTCTATTGGACAATGTCGTTGCAGACCCCTCTGTGGGTGCTACTGAACTCCTATTCATATTTTGGCAATGAAGAGGAGTTATTTGTTCTATGGGGGGCCCGTTCCATTGTATGGTAGCAGCCTAATTGAAAGAATATTAAGTTGAAATTAGTTTTTCTATCATTTCCATACTTCAATCCCAGGCAAATGCCCCACCCTCACCTTGTAATTTCATCGGTCAAATGAGGCAGCTGCGCTAGGTGACCTTGAGGCCCTCTCCCTGTCCAGCCATGTAGGAATCCTCTATTCCTGCCCTCCTCCCCCTTCCACCCAACAGCCCTCCAAATCCTTTCAGGCAGCCCTCAGATCTCTTCTTAGCTTCTGCCAGCTTTTCTCAGCTCCTCAGCACCTCTGAGAGCTTTGCAAATCATCCCTTCACAGCATCATCATAAAATATCTCACCGGAGCCAGTTTGAGGGGGAGGCAGCTTTTGCAGCTCCCAAGAGGGCAGATGCCACTCCCTGCCACCAGGTCTCCATGGCCCCTCCCACACTTGGAGAGTGAGGGCTCCGGGGAGGGTGGCTCTACTTCACTGCAGAGAAAATGCAGTCGGTGAGAGAAAGAGATACACTGAGGCTCCAGAGAGTGTAAAACAAGCATCTCGTCACAAAACAGAGAGGAAACTAAGTCTGGGATTTATTGCTGAGTCCCTTCTTCTGATAAAGAAGCCAGAGGAGCATCAACATTTTCCTTGGAGTCGGGAGTCCTTGGCACCCTCTCTCTGCAGAGTGAGTTCCATCTGAAAACTCTCCTTGGCTGCTCATGCCAATCTGCCTTTCTTCCAAACAAGGACATGAAATCACTCTCTCTAGAACGCAGATTCCATAAGGCTCCAGAAAGAGACTAGGTTTCATTTTAGCCATCAAGGCCCTCTGGCCCCATGCGCTGTTAGCTGGGTGGCCCCTCTTGGCAGAATGACTTCAAAGGGTATTTCCCACCTAAAAGGCCAAATATGTTTTTATAGTTACACCCTCACAGCTTCATTCTTCAACTCAGTGTCTCAGTTCCCTTTTTGCTGATTTCAAATAATGTCCTAGCAGCTTAGACTTATTGCTTTCCCCCTTTCTGTTCAGGTTTTGGGGAAATATTATATTATATATATATTATATATTAATATATATAATAAATAAATATATATATATATATATCATATATATGTTAAAAGAATCAGACTGTAAGCCATTGCCAGTGCACCCCTCAATTATCGGTGAGTCTCTTTCTTAGGAGTCAGCAGTCACTCAGCTCCGTGATACTGCATCTGTGTTGGGCTACACATAAGACAATGATCTACTCCTGGTGTGTTTTGTTTCCACAAATGACTGCACATATTTCCAAATTTTTCAATTGCTTAAGAATAATTGCAGCCCCCAAAGGCCAGTTGTTTGCAAGTCATTTCCCTTGGCATAGACAATCTAATCCATGATCCATATTGGATGCAACTCTCCTGATGTCCTCGACACCCAGAATTTGCCAATACATGTTTTTGAAATTAAGAAGAATTAATACATGAGGCTGGGCTTCTCTAGTCCTGTCTTAATCATGGGTAAAATTCAGCATGGGCTGTATTCCTTTCAGCAATGCCCACGCCATGCCAGCTACTGGACTTGGAGAACTTGAGGAGTGAAGACAACAGGCAATTATCATACTGTAAATGTGTACTGTGTTAGGGATGGTATAGGCAAGACTCAAATCAGCACCTTGGCACCATCAGAGCTAGTTTAGCTGTTTATAGCTCAGACTCATTTTGGTTGGTCAGAAGAGACTCCGACCTAGCTGGTGGGGGCAGTGGGACAGTTGATAAGCCCTGGAGGATTTGTCAACACCCATGGGACCAACAGAGGCAACAAACTCAAACTTTTCCAGTGAGGATGAAAGCCACACAACCCTGTCACTGTATCTTTGGGCTGACCCTCTGACCTCTTAGATGCTGAATCCACCCCTGCCTTCCTGTTCCTGCCACTGCTGTCTTCCTCACCAGGCCCTTCATGCTTGCCTCCCATCAACTGTCTCAGGTCCTGATGCCTGGCAGCCACCCAGACCCAGTATAGCGTATTTTGTCCTCGGGGCTTTTCAGAAGCCTTGAGCTTCTTGACAAACTTTCGCTCCAGTTGGAGGGAGGTCATGTGGTACAGAGAAGGGGCCTTGGAGTGCAGGATGAGAGTCTGAATTGTAGCCCTACCTATGAGAACCGTGGGAACAGGGGCAGGTCACGTGGCATTCTCATCAGTAAACTGAAGATGATAACATTTGTCCCAAAGGAGATCACATGAGATGATAGTGTAAAAACAGTGTGTAAGCCACCACAAGTCTTACCCAAATGTGAGGGTCTCACCTAAGCCCTTTGGAGACTGAAGCTGCACTGAAGCCCTATGCAGACTGAAGCTCACACCTTTGCAGCATCCTGTTTCAGTTCTGCAAATCACCCAATGACTGAGAGGTTTTCAAAACTGGCAAACTCCTATTGCCCATGGGAGATCTCCATGGGGATTCCCGCAGATATCCCTTGAGTCTTTCTGGCTAACTGCTACCTATTTTTCCCCCTCCTGTCTCCTGGATTCAAGGCTGAGTTTGATGCTCCTCCTTGGCTTGCTGACGGCACCCAGAGCATGCCTCTATTCAAGCACAGGCGTGGCACAGATTTTCTGATCTGTTTCCTCTATTCAAGCACATGCGTGGCATGGATTTTCTGATCTGTTTCCCTCTGTAAATCCCTTCGTGGTGGAGACTGTATCTTTCACTACTAGGTGAAAGATACCTTTCACATGTTAGGTCCTCAGTAAATATTTCTTGAACAAATGAATGAATGAAATTCTCACTCATCTCGAAAGTGTACATTCTCTGCTTTCTCTGAGCAGCCTTTCAACACAGTATGACCACAATAATTCTATTTTCTCAGTGGAATTGCACACCTTGAGGGTAGACACTGTCCTGGCAATGGCTACTATATAATAAGATGCAGGGAAGGAATTGCAGGCACCACTGGTTTCCCTCGCATGCTCTGTTATTACAGTACTCCTTTATTACAAGCTTGGGTTTTGTGTTTGCAGATGCAGTCACGTGGCAGAACCAAATCTCATAAATATATAGGTAACGTGGTAACCAAAAGACTCCATTTTGGAATGGCTGGAGTCTCTGAGACCTCTCTAGATGTAGTATAATGTAATGATTAAATGCCTGGGCTTTGGAGTCGATTAGATAGGCTCAAATCTCACTTCATAAACTATGTAATCTTAGGCAATTTCCTTAACTTTGTTGCCTCATTTTTCTCATCTTTATAAGCTTTGTGCTCCTCACATACTTGTTCTGAGAATTAAAGAAGATAATACATATTAAGCAGTTAGCACAGTCCCTGGCACATAGGAATTATCCAATATCTACCATATCTACCAGTTCTTTCTTTCATCATTGTTATTATTTTCATCATTAGGAAGTCATCTCTTTCTTCCTTTTGGTGGCATTCCCTGGCACCTCTCTCCCAGTTTTAAGGATCTCAAGGGCAGCATATTCCACAAGACTTTTAGTACCTCTGGTAGCATTTGTGGATTTGTGTGTCTGTGGATGTAGATATTTGGAAAAAAAAATGTCAAAACTCTTTACCCTCAACAAACCAAGAGTGTTTCAACAAGTATTCAATGACATCTCAGTCTCTTATCAACAAAACAATCTCAAATATTTATTCTTTTCCCCCCCGCTGATGTCTGGTCACCTCCTTCCCCTCCAGAACCACATGTGCCCTGCAGGAGGACAGCATTCTGCCATCTAGAAAGTTTCTATGCATTTCTCCTGCCTTTCTGAACAGGCCCACTGCCATGGAAAGAGAAAAATGTACTCCATTCTCCTGATTTCCTAATGCTGTGGACATGTGGGTCAGGGAGAGTAATTCCTATTTCACTTTTCCTTTCTGTGATTAAACAGCCAGGCCATGGTGCATGACCAAAGTTAAGCAGCTCTCCTCACCTGTCTCCAAAACAAGTCTGCTTACAGATGTGGGCCACATCTTGACCTCTTAACATCAACCACAGAGCAAGACCTGTACCCTAGAGATGCTCAGAAATGTTTGGTGAGTGAAAATGATTGGGTGAAGGAGTAAACAATTAAGAAAGCCAGCAGGATGAGTTGCATTAGCCATGAATTGCACTCGTACTGGATATCAGGGAGCAAACACAGGCTTCTCTGGAAAAAATGCTCTTTCTTTCACTCTCTATTATAACAAGAAGAAGAAGAAGAGGAAGAGGAAGAGGAAGAGGAAAAATGGTTGGAGTAGAAAAGGAGAAAGCAGATAAAGAGGAGGAGGAAAAAATAGAAAGGGATTAGACAATTAAACACGTTTTGCAATTCCATTTCTATGTGTATATTGCTTTACAGTTTTCAAGGTGTCTTCAGTTTCATTTAACACAATATATTTTTATTAAACAACTACATAACATTTGTAACAATTGGCTACAAATTGAATAGGACACAGTTTCTGCCATCAATTCAAAATGATCCTGAAAAGTATAAAGGCCACTTATTTAGATTATGCCTTGTTTTATGATGAGCAAACTGGAGCTTGCTCGGAATGGAAGATTACGAATATTACTTGGCCAAGAGCACAGAGCTTATCAGTGAGGGGATTGGACCTAGAATTCGAGGTCATATTCTCTACCCATACAAGGCTGCATCCTTTATCCTTTATTTAGACCAAGCAATATTCAAGCACTTGCAAACCATATGAATGTTCCAAATATGTATACTGGACACCAAGACTTTATGCACATCCAGTATCTCATTTGTTGTGAACTTTGTTTTTATAATATAATTTACTGCCAAAAATCTGAAAAGTGAGGATTTGATGATATTTATAATCCACATCTACACAATTAAGAATTAACAGCATTCATCTCCAGAATGTAATAAATATTAAATCAAGCTTTTATATGTGGCTAGTAGCTATTTGCCTATTACATTAGTTAGGCAAACTCATTTCAATACTAACATTTAGATTTAAACTATAAACTCTAATCATATTAAAAAGCAACACTGTGCCAAATCTTGAACTGATAGCAAATACTGATTCATATACCAAAATCAGAAGCTAAATTCCACGGAACCACCAGTGAACTGTTTTGAGCATGAATTAAATAGGAAAATATTGGACTTGAAAATTAAAATAATGTCCACAACTAGGTGTCAATCATTCCAACATTCTATTCATTTTAGCCCCTGTAATTGAGCAGGCAAGCTCTCAACAGGAGGATGGGCACCTGCTCACATAGTGGTAAGTACTGGCCAACCTTGCAGCCAAGTCCACCAGAATTAACAAACTTGACCTTGTTATTCAGTAACCAATATGGATTTTAAAAAGAAAGAAAAAACAATGAAAAACATTCATGATTTAAATGGGAACCATTTTGTAAAGAACAACTGCAAAAGCAAATTTTACGTTTCACTGTGTTGCAATCCAAAGTAGCTGAGAGTACTGCTCTGCCACTTCTATTTTTGTAATGTCACACGCCCACAGAGAGTTCACAGGCACGTAGCTGGAGGAGAGACTGGTTCTCCCTTTTGTACCACTACCCTTCGGAGACAGGCATTGGAATTGCTTCTGCTCAGGAAGGCTAATAAACATAGTAACCAGAAAAAAGAAAAAAAAAAAGAACCCAAAGCAATCAATCAATCAATTAGATTAATGGATTAATTTTCACTTAGGCCAGAATTTGAGTTATTTGTTGAGGACAATGCTGGGGAGAGTTAGGGAATAAATCAAGAAACAGGTGGATTTGAGAGGGAAGGCAAACTGGGTGGGGTTAGTGGAGTGACCTGCTATATTCGTTGGCAAAAGCCTTCTGATCATTTTCTTTCTCCCACTTCAAACAGGCTTCTGTCACCATCACTCCACTGAAAGTGCTTTTGCCAGGATCCCAATTTGAAAAGTGAAATTTCCTAATTAAAGGAAGTGGTTGACCCTGCAGCGTGCATATAGATGTGATCCATCGTCGTTCAGGTATACAACATGACTGCCGCCTCTCACACTTAGGCAGGGACCAAGGCTGATAGAATTGACCCTGTTACAGAAAAACTATCCCATCATATGAAGAAGGCACCAGTAAGCTATTTTCTTTCATTCATTCATCAGTTCATTATTTATTCAACAAACATTTGTGTCCATAACATCCAGTCTAGTTCTAAGCGATAGCGATGTGACTAAGCATTTGAATAAGACTGAGGTGATACTTGCTCTTATGGGGCTCACATTACAGTAAGCCAATAAAAGAATAAATGAACAACATAATTTCAGATAGAGATAAGCACAAAGAGCAACATGGGACAGGGTAATGTGGACGAGATCTGTCTTATATTGCATATCAGGAAAGGCCTTCTTGAGGATGCCATATTTAGTAACAAGAAGAACTCCTGCATGCTCTGTCTAAACCACCACCTGCCCACACCCCAGTAGCAACACTCCCAGAGTTGCCCATTCTCCCTCTCGTAGCAGCACATTTTCCATCTCTGCCAAATCATTCCTGTCTGTGTGCAATTTACCTACAGTATCTCTCAATTGTTAAAAAATACCCTCCTCTTGCCTTCCCTCCCCTTTCAGATTCCACCCCATTTCATTTCTCTACTCTCCTTCACTGCAGAAATCTACTAAAAAGACTTTCATCCTTTTTCTCCACCTCTCCTTCCCTTCTTTCTTGAACCTGCTTCAAACAGACCTCTTTCCACCACTCCAATGAAACTGCTCTGGTCAAGTTCTCACTGACCATCAGGTGGCCAAATCCTGTGGTCATTTTTCTGTTCTCACCTTGTCATTAGTGCTCAGTCCCTATCCCCTGGCACTCACCACTCCCTTATACACGGAGGTTTGTACTGTAGCCGTCTGGGACTCTCGAAGCAAGCATGGCCAGCTACAGATGGGCCGGAAGTCCTAGGGAGTCAAAGCCTGCAGGGGCAGCCCTCAAACAATGACAGAGAGGAACTGGTGTATAAATGCCTCAGTTTCCTTTCCCTCCTATGGGCGATTCTGACACAGGTTCTGTATAGGTTCCCAGAGGCATCCAGTGGCATTGAGTTCACTTTCCTACAGTGATAACCTTCTTATGAACACGCCTCGTGTGGACTCCCCTCCATTCCCTGTCTTACTTACCTGCACCCTTACTGGTGCCCCTTAGAATCACCTCTCATATTAAGTGCTTGCGATCAATTCCTTGTCCGGATCTGCCTCTGGGAGGATACAACTCTGACAAATTCGTGGCAAAAGTGACCGCAATTTCCCCCTCACTATATTTGCAATGTGACTTTGCAGCTCCTCCCATAAAGAGATGAAGATCATTTCTCCACTCCTGGAATCTGGGCTGATCTCGTGAGTTGTTTTACTTTAGGGAAAGCAACAGAAGCGACAGTGGCAAGTGATATGAGCTGAGGCCTAAATGATTGTTACATGCTTCTTCTTGCTCTCTTGGGACTCAGCCTCTGTATGTTGAAAAGCCTAGACTAGCCTGCAGAATAATGAGACATTACGTGGGCCAGTGCGAGTCATTTCTGTTACTGTCTGTGAGAACACTTAGCCAAAATCTGCAAAGCTAATCTGCAACTGACTCATTGCCAATCATAGACATACAGGTAACCCAACCCAAACCTGAAGAACCGTCCCACTAGGCCCTGCCTAAATTGTCAACCTATGTAATCTTGAGCTGAAGAAAAGGTTACTTTTCAAAGCCACTAATTATGGGGATGATTCATAATGCAGCAAAAGGTAATTGTTACATTTACTTAAATCAGATGGTCCCAGAAGTGGTCCTAAGAAGATCTTCATGATGAGATTGTGGAACCCACTTGCTTACCAAACAGATGGCAGCAAGTACCCCATTTCTGGTGGCATACAGTATCACAAATAGTGAGACTCTTACCTTTGGTGGATTGAGATGGGCAGAGATGAAAGGGGATACATTGCCTTCTGTAATAGTTCTAGCTCTTGAAGTTTATGTAGGCAATGATCATTATAACAATGGCTGGCCATGGTGGCTCATGCCTGTAATCCCAACACTTTGGGAGGCTGAGGCAGGCCAATCACTTGAGGCCAGGAGGGTAAGACCAGCCTGGCCAACATGGAGAAACCTCATCTCTATTAAAAACACAAAAATTAGCCAGGCATGGTGGCGCATGCAGGTAATCCCAGCTACTCGGGAGGCTGAGGCAGGAGAATCACTTGAACTCAGGAGGTGGAAGTTGCAGTGAGCCGAGATTGACCCACTGCACTCCAGCCTGGGTGACGGAGTGAGACTCTGTCTCAAAAAATAATAATAATTACTATTATTATTATAAGGATAATTGTACTGCTTCTCTTTGTTAATGACAGAAGCCCTGAAAGAATAAAATGACAGCTATCACTCCAAGCTCTAATTTGAATGACAGAAGTCTACAAGAAGGACCCACACCTCCTGTGGCCGGAAGACAAACTGTAATGAATAATCAGACACAATATTTGGTTATACGGTGCTAGAGATATAAACCACCTACACTAAAGTGTAGGTCTGATATAGAAGAGGTAGGACATTGAGACCTGGAATGGGGAACTTTGGGTAGATACACTTGAGAACCTTAAATCTCCCAAATTTACTTGAATTTGCATAAAAGCCTACTTCTTTCTTGTCAGAGGAGAAGTAACCTCTCATTACCTGGAGACCATGGACATGCTTCTCCTTACAAATGTCTTACAATATGATACTAGACCAATGAACAGGCTCAAGTTTCTTCATGTCATAGTGAGAAGTACTGACCCTTTTCTGGGAAGAAAGATGTTACTCACCAGGAACCAGAAGGTTCCTGCTGTTCCATATTTTCCAGAACCTACAACTTTTTTGGTGAATAATACCTTTCCTTCCAAAGAAGGTCAATGTTCCTGCTGGGGATACATATTGAGGGTATAGACTGAGATCCATAGATCTGAGGGGTTGGGGGGTCTCCTGGAGGTAAGATCCTGCAACATAACAGAAGGATTATCAGTAGCTCTTACTCCAGTCTTTCCCCCAAAGAACTGATAGCTGTTTTTCAAAGTAAATATAAACTGTGGAAAGGGAAGAAAGATCTTTTAACAGCTTTTGAATAAGGATATGGATATGGATCAACAGCTACTGTTAAGATGCCATTAAGCCTTTAATACTATCCTGACACCTTGTTAGAGTTGAGATTCACAGATGTCAGGAGATAAATGGAGTCCTGGTCAAAGCCCATCTCACATGAGTTCACCCTGAGTCTATGTCCTTTGTCCTAGCTTGCATAATAGAGACAGATACACATAGCATCTGGCAGCACCTTCATATTGGTTTCCTGACCTACGAAGTAAGAGCCATAAATGTAGGCAAGGCCAAGTGGGAGTCCCTGAAACTCTCTCTCTCCCTCACCAAAGATAATAAATCCGAAGTGATGTTGCATCTGAGGGATTATACCTGAGAATAGCACCTCTCTCAAAGATTTAAAACATGCAGAGATGGCGGTTCTCATCATATTCCCATTTAATTCAACGATATGGTTTTTGCAAAAACCAGATGGATCATGGTAGCTGATGAGGGGATAGCACAAACTTAGCCAAATGATAGTCCCAATTACAGTTGTTGTGCTGGATGTGATGTCTCTACTAGATTTAGAACTAGATCAAATAGCCTCTTTAACTTGGTATGTGGATACTGATTTAGCAAATGCATTCTTTCCTATGCTCATTGAGAAGCGGGATCAAAGGCAGTTCACAATAACCTAGGACAGATAATTTTAAATATTTACCATCTCTACCTCTTCTGATCTTTGTCACAATATGGTCAATTAAATATGTCACAATTAAAGTCCCAAGGGACTTAAATCATATGGACTGTCTACAGAAAATCATGCTGGTCAAGTATATTGATATCATGATAATCAGACCTGTGGAGCAGGAAATGGTAATTCTTTCCTATGTTTTGGAAAGACCCATGCATGCCAGCAGGAAGGAGAAAAAAACCACACAAAGATTCGGTGAAGTTTCTAGGAACTGTGAGGTCTGGAGCATGCTAGGGACATCCCCTCCAAGGTAAAGACAAGCTATTGTACTTTGCACCTCCTACCACTAAGAAAGAGGCACCATGTTTGGTAAGCATGTTTGGAATTTGGAGATATTATATATTACACTTGGAAATCCTCCTCTAACCCATTTATTGGATGATTCAGACAGCTGCAAGCTTTGAGTGGGCCCAGAGCAAGAAATAGCTCTGCAGTAGAAGCAGCCCTACTACTTGGGCCATATGATCCAGCAGATCCAATAGTGCTACAAATATCAATAGTTGAAAAGGACACCATATGGACCCTCAGACAAATCTTAGTAGTAGAAGCTCAGTCAGAACCCAAGGTTTCTGGAGCAAGGTAATGCCATCTGCATCAGAGAACTATTTGCTATTCAAAAAGTAGCTCCTGAACTGTTACAGGTACATACCTAATAGAGATTGAGTGCCTACTATGGAACATCAGGAGATTATGTGACAGATGCTGTACATCATGAATAGGGTATCATCACTGCCAGCAAGCTATAGGGTTTGCATGGCTCAGCAGCAATCTGTCATTCAACGAAAATTGTATGTTTGGGATTGAGCAGGTCTGGAAAGCACAGGTAGGCTGAAAACCCATGCCACATATCTCCATTGTACTAGGGTCTTCCCCTCACTTCACAGCTATGTGAGTTTAAAAAGTGGACTGCTTACAAACGACAGCCTTACTCAAGAGTTTCCCTGATATACAGTGAAGAGGGGAAATCCTCTCAGTGGATGGGGACATTCTGGCCATCATGTTTGTGTGGAAGAAGTGGTCCAAGGTAAGGTCTCTTGAGCATTGATGAATAATTTGACTGGGTGAGAGATCAAGAAATACAAGACTAAAGATCAGAGACATAGAAGTCTGGGGAATAACATATCGGAAAGACCTGTGGGAATGAGCATAAAGTCTGAGTCTTAGTGTCAATGCCAGCAGCTCAATCACTCAGTCACTCAAAGGCAGCAAAATAGATGTGATGATGGGCACATGACCATGAGATTGATCATCCTTACTCTACACCACATCACTCAGAAACCACCAGGCTGATAGAAAGTTGGATGGCCTCCCAAGGGACAGCTGGGGCATGGGCTTGGAATAGCTGAGATACTCCATATGACTGGAATGAAAGATGCTTATCTGAGATACAATTTAAGTTTTAAACTATTGTTTGACCATTTGATGATGCATTATTCATGATAGCTGGCTAGACTACATGGGTCCAGGAACCAAAAGGTTAGGTTAGAGTGGCCTTTCCCTCCCAATGGTCCACTTGGAGAAATTTGTGTTTTCTATCACTGTAATTTTAGAATCATATTGATTAAAAGTTCTGATTCCAAAGACTAAGACTTCACATTAAAAATTCCATTAAACCTTTTAACCCAAAAATCAATGAGTGTCACCTGGTCATTTTCGGCTCTCATACCAATATACACACAGGCAAAGAAACGAATGGTCATGTTGATGGGCATAATCAACCTTGATTATCATTAGGATCTATGGTTGCTGCTGGCTAAAGGTGGCACAGAAGAGTATATCAAGGACTCAGGGATGGCTTTTTGTGCTTCTGTGTCCAGTAATAACCATGAAAGAGCAGTCAGCAATCATGGCATGACTAGGGCACAGTAACCAGTAACTCAGAAGCTTCAGTATCAATGTCTGGGCCACCGATTGCACAAGAAACCCAAGCAGAAGTGTTGAATGAGCGTGAGGAGCATCTAGAGTGGACAGTAAAAGAGGGAGGTAAATGTCTATTATGTCCTTGGGATCAACTGAAGCAGCAGGGACTGTAGCTGGTCCTATTAATCCTCCTACTGAACTTTGCTTTGTTGTGTTTTAAAGAAATTATGGCTGGATTTCACTGTGAAGAATCAGTTATCAGACAGAGTGAACTTAAGATGGGACAGAATTTGACCACAGCAGTGCAAGTATTGAGGCTTCACCCATATTTTCTTGATATCCACTGTTCCCTTACAGGCAGATGGCTTTTAGCTGTAAGCATCTGTGACCCTCTTGCAGAGGGAATTCTCTAATCACGAGGAATTCTTGGTCTATGTGCACGACAGGCCTGAAGTGCCAGAAAGTTCATTCCCTCACAAGACGATCTCAATATGTCAGTCAAGAGTGGGTGGATAAATAACCAATCCGCCCCCACTCGAGTAGGACAATTCTGAAGCAGATTATATGTAGTGTCCCAGAAGCAAGCCCTCCAGTGGGATGGAGCTCCAGCTGCCCACATGGTAACAGCTCATTAATGAAGCCCGCAACGGCCTCCTTCCCTTCCTTGTCTCACTTCCTCAGCCCAACTGATTTCTTCTATAATAAGTCCTAATAACTCCTCAAAGGTTAAGTGTCTTCAGCAAGCCACAGCAAGGTTGTTTCCTTGGTAATGAAAGAAAAAAGAAAGCATTATAATAAATCTGAAAATATTATTCCCAAAGGAAGGTCTGTAATAAGGAAATTACATGGCATGGTATAATGTATGTTTTTAAAACAAAATAATGACTTCTTTGTAGAAAATTGATCAAAAGGAGACCAACTGTAAGTTATTACAGCATCTCAGACAAGAAATGGTGGTGGCTTGGCCTAGAGTCTTAGAAGTGAAGATGTATTACTTCTTAATTCCAACAGTGCGTCTGGGTTTTACACAAACCTTTTTGTAAACAAAAACCTGCAATTTAATCTGGTAAGGCTGTCTTGTTACAAGCTTGGACTAAAGCAATCAGTGAGAAAAAAAATTGCCTATCCAGGGATGGATTCAATGTTGACTCTTTAGAACCAGGTCCAACTAGTTTAGTGAACATTTTATAAAACAGCAACAAAAATATAAAATTATATAAAGCCCATGTGTTACCAAAACTGTAGATACCCTGGTCTTTGAAGTGTCATTGTCATCACTACTATGATGGAAAAAGTATAACATAATGATTAGTTAAGAGTCAAAGAAGGGAACCCTAGCTGCCTGGATTCAAATCTATGATCTGTCCATTAATAGAGAGATGACTTAACTTTCTGAAGCTTACTCAGTTCCCTCAACTATAGAGTGGAAATAATCATAGTATTTATCATAGCTTTATTTGTAAAGATTAAGTGAGATAATACAAAAATGAATAAACAAACATCATTAGGTATCCTGCAGACATTAAGCACAGAAGACTATTATTAACAACTTTCTGTCAAGAGAATTGATAATTTAGATGAAATAGACAAATTTCTAAAAAATACATCTTTTTAAAACTGATTTAAGAAGAAATAAGAGGAATAAACTGTAATATAACCATCAATGAACTTGAATTAGTAATCCAAACTCTCTCCACGATGATAATCCAAGGATATTTAACTTCCTTCACTAGATGATCTCACAAAATATTCAAGGAAAAAATGCTGATAGTTTTATCAAACTCTTTAAATAAGAAAAAGAGGGACACGTTCCTCAGTTCACCTTATGATTCTAGCAACACCTTGATGCCGAAATTCAATAAGGATAGTAAAACAAGAGGAAGAAAATAACAGACTGATCTTATCTATAAACATAAATGCAAAACGAATGAATAAGACATCGGCAAATGTAATCTAGCAATTTTCAAAAGGAAGAAATGACCAAATTGAATTCACCCGAGGAATGTAGGGTTGTTTCAACATTAAAGAAAAAAATATGTTGCTGTGATTAGCCACACTCACAGATCAAAGGAAAAAAGTCCACATAAACAACGTTAATAGATGCAGAAAAAAATGTTTGCTACATTTCAACATCCATTCATCATGAAGTGCCATCATAAAGTAGAATAAGATGAAACTTTCTTAATTTGCTGAGGGGAATCTACAAAAAAAACAACATCAAATATATTTTCTTTTACTTCATTTGGGTTTATTTTGCTGTTCTTTTTCTAGTTTCCTGGAAAGATGCTTAGTTCATTACTTTTGTGACTTTCTTTTATCTTACATATTCACCTTGAGGATATAAGTTTTTCTCTAATCCTGCCCTTAACTGTGTCCTATGAGTTCGAATATGTGGTATTTTTCTTAGCATTTTGTTTAATATATTTTCAAGCATCCATTATCCCTTCTTTGACTCATTGGTTATATAGAAATACATTTATGTATTTTAAAACACAGAGAGATGTCCTAGTCTTTCTTTCTTTAAAATTGCCTTTTTTTTTTTTTCTTTTTTTTTTTTTTTGAGATGGAGTCTCGCTCTGTCGTCCAGGCTGGAGTGCAGTGGCGCAATCTCGGCTCACTGCAGGCTCTGCCTCCCGGGTTCACACCATTCTGCTGCCTCAGCCTCCTGAGTAGCTGGGACTACAGGCGCCCACCACCACGCCCAACTAATTTTTTGTATTTTTAGTAGAGACGGGGTTTCACCGTGTTATCTCGATCTCCTGACCCTGTGATCCGCCTGCCTCGGCCTCCCAAAGTGCTGCGATTACAGGCATGAGCCACCGCGCCCGGCCCATAGTATTTCTTTTTTAAGTTGTAGACATAATTTGAGTCCTAGGATGGTACCTTCCTTCAAAGAGAATGTTTATTTGCTTCTACTAGTTGTGTGGGGGGCCATTAGTGCAAGACCACCTCAATCCAAGTTGAATCTTGAGGTTCCTCAGATGTCAGGAGAAGAGAAGCTGATCTCTGAGTCAGCATGATTGCTGGTTTACTTGTGGTTTACTCTCATCCTAAGGCTGGAGTCCTACCTTTAAATATGAGTGGGGGTAGATCAGATTTTTCACGTTCGGTGGACTTTGACTCTTGTTCCCCTTGTCCTGGGATTCTGCCAAAATCTCACTTCAGTTTTTCCACTGTTGTCTCTGGATCAGCAAATACTCTCACAGCAAAAGTTGTAAATGTTTTTTTGTTTTTTTTTTTAATTCCTATTTCATCTAACTGTTTTTACTTGTTCTCAACAATAGGGTTTCTTCAAATTGTCTTGCTCATCATTACTGAAAGCAGACAAACCCCACTGAAAAGTATACTTTATTTCTCAAATTTCAGTATTGATCTTATCAGCAAAATAGCAATAACAGTGATAATAATAATACCAACCTACTCTTCTTTGGTGAATGTTAAGAAAGATAAAGATTGAAATACCTATTTCTCTGCAGAAGACACATTCCTGTCATTTCTTTCACCATAGTGGAATTTAAGTCATGTTTTTCAGAAGCCAACTCTAAATTAAAATCACTATAAAGTCACCAACAAAAACCAAAGATAATATGGTCAAGATCTTCTTTTCTGTTTGCTTTAAGGATTTGTTCTATTTTAGAGTTCTCAAATAGTGGGGAATATTTTCTTAACAAAAGGGCTCAATCTTACTGCCATAAATACATGAATAGAGGAGAAAAGCCTCCAAGTGAGAACTGAAAGGTACAATCCCCACATTAAGGGGGGTGATTTTTTATTCTGTTTATAAATGGACTCAAATTTCATGACTTAATTTTACTTTTCTTAAAACTAAAAATAAATTCACTGGAACCTCAGAGTAGCAGAAATATCCTAAGTTAAAAATTCTAAAATTACTTCAAAGGCTTTGGGGTTCATGAAAAGAAGTTCCATTCTCAAAACTCTGAAAATGGTTCAGTTTATTCCCAAGGCCTGCTCAGGAATGAAGTGAGAGCTGAATCTGTTTTATTTTCAAGACTAAAAACATATCCAATTTTATTGAGTTTATTGCACAATTAGGCTGCAGATTTGAGGAGCCAAAATAAGAAAATTACAAATCATGTTTTGTACCTCACCCAAACTAGATGACATTTCTCCAAATTAATCAGCTACCCCATAAAGGATACTAACATGAGATCTGCAGAGACTTTCTTCATGCCAAAATATTATGGTGACTTTGTATCTAAACAACAGCCATTTCCAAGAAATGCTGAAGACAGCATGTTTCAAAGGCCAGGATCTTTCACCTGTATCCCAGCGCTTATTTTCCTATGTCCTGAATACACTTAGGTTGCTGGCTTTGGCTCCATTCTGATTTCTCATACACTGTTTTCTCTCTGTTCCTAAAACATTGTGTCATCATTTGTTGTGAACAGTTGGAGAAACATACAAAAGAGGCCTCCAGGCAAAGCTCTTTCCAAAGTGAGAGGAGCTGCTGAAAGATCTTGACTGGTCTACAATGTCAAAAAAGAAAAAAAAAATGACAAAGCCAAAGTTCCCCATCAACCTAAAGAGAGGATTACTTTAGAACTCATTGCATTGGCAGGACAAAGTACTTCATATGGTCTCTCAATTCTCTCTAACATCTTCCAAACCTCTTCACTGACTCTCATCCAGATACTTGCCATCACTCTCCTGCAGTGAATCCCAAGCTCTTGGCAGCATTGTAGGAATGACTCTGTTTGGCAAGCTTTCGTTGCAGTGGGCAAGTGCCACATATAAACTTCATGTGGAAATATGCACAAATACCTAACAGCGGGCATTCAAACACACTTGTTTGAAGATGCTAAGCTTCTTATAATACTTTCTTCTTTTGCATCATAAGAGAAAACATTCATCATGTGTCAGGGGGCAGGGGGTAAAAAGAGAGAGAAACACAAAATGAATCAGATATTCTCCATGTAAGCATTGATAGTCGCTTGGCCAACCTAGCAAAACATTAAAGCAAGAGCATCTGGTCTTGGTTATCCTCTGCTTTTCCCTTGAGAGTCTTCTTCCTTCAACAGGCATCTGTTTATCTCTGCCTCCCATCCTCCACTTTCTAAGTTCTCCAAACATGAAGCTGGTACTGTTTCCTGTGTTGCATTTCACTATTGGGAACCTGACGTTCCAGTTTTTCCCTCCTTCTCACCTAAACTGTCCTGCATTTCATTTCCTCAGAGCTTTGCTCTGTTCTGCTCTGCTCTCTCCAAACTGAATGATTCTTTCTGGCTCATGTGTAGATACAAGCTGTCTACACTTTGCAAAGTTCTCTCATGCATGAATTTCAGTTACCACAGTTACCACCAGTTCCCCCCAACAACATAGTTCCAATTTCCGTTACCACAGTACACTAACTCTGAGTAAATGCATGAAGTACAAACTTCACTGTTAGCTCTTCAATCCACAGATCACCACGCAATAACAGATGTACATCATGATCAGAGACCAACTACATCACTTCCTTCACATTCCCCCAGTGACTGGTCACTGTGCATCTGTTATCAGTTGATGCACAGACAGAAAAGCTGTGGTTGTGTTGCCTCCTTGGCTCCCAGTGGTAAACATACATGACGTTTTATAAAAATGAATACTCAAAAGAGGGAATTAGTTAATAAACATGACAGTCTAGTAAAAAACAAAAATGATAATGGTGAAAGTGAAATTCACATTGAAAGTAAATGGAGTTATAGGAAAAACAGCTGACTGTGGAGATGTGAACCTTGTGTCTATTGGAAAGACTCTAGATAGGCAGCCAGAGGAACTTAAGGAAGGTGAATTTATACACAAGAATTAGGAAGGCAGCAACAAGGAAAAGATTGAAAGTTAAGGTAAGATGTCTGAGAGAAAGACACATCAGCAAAAAAAAAAAAATCATATTGAAGGAATTGAAAGATGTTTCATGGCATTGAAAGTTCAAAGGATAAAATGTTGGAAGCTGATCCAAACTTAGAAAGGAGTGTGACATTCTGCCAAGGCATAGAAACTATGTTTGCTCCATAGAGTAAGGTTTATGACAAAAAGAAGGCAAGCACTCTTCAAACTACTCTTGGTAAGTTTTTTACAAAAAATAAAACTCCTGAATGCTCCATGTTTCTAATGACTTAAATTAGACTGCACTAAATAAATATTAGTTTTACTATATTTTTCGGTTTTCTGTATATTTATACCCATAGTAAGAGCGTTTTTCATATTATGGAAAAAAATTGAAAAACCACAAAGCAATCGTAATGATTATGAACATGGTTTTGCAGGGTAGCAGAGCTGTTTTTATTGTCCCACACACCATGCAGATCAGGGACTGACAGTCTATGCTCAACAACAGGATAACACCACGACCGCTCTTTGATAGAATAGATACATGTTAAAAGCTCTTCGTTAAAAGTATTACATAAGCAATAATTGTGCCTCTCCAACTCTAAGTGAAAACAGCCATCACACTATTTTAATTGAGTTAAGCAGGACTATATACAGTCATGTGCTACTCCATGGTATTGCAAGCAGTGACAGGCTACATACATGACAGTGGTCCCATAAGATTATAATACCATATTTTCATTGTACGTTTTCTATGTTTAGATATGTTTAGAGATACAAATACTTATAATTGTGTTACAATTGCCTACAGTATTCAGTACAGTAACCTCCTGTAAAAGTTTGTAGCTGAGGAGCAATAGGCTCTACCATATGCCCTAGGTGTGTAGTAGGCTATACCATCTAGGCGTGTGTGAAGGCACTCTGTGATGTTCGCACAATAATGAAATCACCTAATAATGGATTTCTCAGAACATATCCCTGTCATTGAGTGATGCAAGACTGTATATTCTAATTGATATCTATTCTAGCCCTCCAGCTTCATTTCTCTGCTACTCACTCTCCTTTTCTCTTCAGACTTGCTGGCGTTTTTTAAAAAATATATTAAATATTTTGGATAGACAAAACATATAAAGAGTATTAAAATTAACTGCCTACTACACTCCCCTGCTTAAAACAACAATTTTTACAATATGGCTGAAGCCCCTGTGTTCCCCTCTCAGATTGCACCCCCCACATCATTCCTCACCACCACCAACACCTCTGATCCCAGATTCTATGTTAATCATTCCCATTGTTTTGTTGCTCCTATTTGTTGGCATATCATGAGCACTCACACGCTTTTCCCGATCCTGGACCCTTTCATGCCTCCCCAGCACTGCTGCTGTTTCCTTTAGCACAAATCCCCTCCTCTGCTCCGCAGCCCTGCCCACCACGGTTCCCTGCTACTTTATTTCAGGTGAGAACTACATTTCGTCATCACCTTCTCGGAGAGAAGGGACCTGGGACCTCCCTCACTGGGTCAGCTCCTGTATTGCAAGTTCTCATAGCACCTGGCCCCTCCCCTTTGCACTGGGCATTTCAGATGTGGTTTTGCATTCATTTGTGTGATTCCTCCATAAGCGGATGTCTCCACACTGCTCCTGAGGGCAAGAACCAGGTCTGCATTCACTGGGCACTTCATCCTGGCACTGTGCCCTGTGCCTTGCATCTAGAAGTCACTTGATTCAGATTGAATCAACAGGGTCAAGACTTTCCTTGTTGTTATGCTCTTTGGGAAGCTCTCATAAAAATTTGAAGGTCAAAGCCCTCTGGCCACACATTGCAAAACCAACAAAATAAATAAAAAATATTTAAAATCCATGTGAAAACCAAATTCCAGCAATGACCAATGAAAAACATGCATACCGATCCCCAAAGGTCAGTGTGATGGAATTTGTCCTACAGTACTGAAGAAAACTGGGCACATGGAAGCAGCTTCCAAAGTGAATTTTCTTCTGCCGTGGCCTAATTTACAGATTGGGAAGTTTGTGTCTGTGAAAAGGTGGCACAGGCAGCACAGGCAGCACAGGCACCCCTGCCCAACTCATGGGTAGTGATGATTTCGGCAGAACTTAAAAGAAATAGAAGGGATGTTTGGAAGAGAAAAGAAAATGTAGCCCCAGACATTCATCAGAGGCTGGCTGGATTAGGAAATCTTTTAGGAGGGGGCAAAAAAGAAAAAGGCCATTTAAAGGTTTCTTGCTCAACAGTATACATTTTTACTGAGACTACTATGGACTTTACCGTCCTTCTCACCCAAAGACCTCATCTCCCAGCTCTGCTCCCAGGTTCTCTCCCTTGCCCACTGCCACTCCTGACACTTCCACTTACATCAGCTCATTAATCAGCACTTGCCCTTTGTGAAATACGCAGCTCCAAAATATTGTAACCTCAGCTCACGTTAATTACTTGGATAGTTGCACAGGATCCTGAGGGAAGTCAGAGACCTCTGCATACAGAAATGCCTCTGCCAAGCCTAATATTAGGATTTGATATTTTTAAAAAACCTCTTTTTAGTATCCGACGTTCTTGGTCAGAGCACATCTTAGAAAGAATAGTATCATGTACAGAGCAAGTGCATCTCCTATACAAAATTCTCTTGGGTTCCACTAGCCTAGATTTGGAACCTTTTAGATATAAATAACAGAGTTTCTGTAGAGTCACATTAAAGTACGTGTTTTTGATTTAGGGTTTATGAATGACCTGGGGCGGGGAGGAGGAGGAATCCATGCCATCCATGAAATTGTAGGCATGCTTTTAAGTGCTAAGGCATTTTTCTGTAGCAAGAATGATAGCATTTATTAGATCCTCAAAGCAGTTCACAGACCCAGCAAGAATCTTCTCAAATCTATTTGCTATTATTGGGCTGGTGAGTTAACCACAAAACTAATCTCTAAACTTGATTGGCCTAAATGCCTTGGACATTGAAATGGCTCCTCATGGCAGAGGAGCAAGATTGAAATTGTGAGAAGGACAAAAGCATTATTCCTCCTGTTAATTACTCATTATTCCTATAATGGTTTTCTTGGGATGTCTATGGATGTCTTACACGAGGAAAGAAAGCATATCATTTACTAAAATTCCAAAGAAACCAGAGCTTTAGGTATACACAGGCAGTGACATTAATTTGACAAGGGGCCTCTGAGATAAATTTGGCAAAGGTGATCTTCTCATCCCCAGAGATGCCTTGCCTGCTGTGTAGGGTTGAAAGCAGGAAGCACAGGGGAAATAAACTGGAGCAGTGCTGGGCCCTGCTCCCAACCACTCATGGGAGCCAACAGTGTGCTTCTCTTTTCAACAATATTTTCAGTGACACCACATTGGCAGCTTGGCATTGGCCATGCAGGGAGTATGTACACCCATGAAAGACAGCAAACACTATAAATACTTTCCTCAGAGATGCAATAATTAAACATTTACCAACACATAACTGATCAAGACCCTTTTGTGAGTTTTCAAGCTGTGCAGAGCTGGTTGTCCAGAGGCCATGCTTAGAGACTAGATGAAGACACATCAAAAAATTTTAAAAAAAAGCTAAATTATAAAGTAAAAAATGTGCATATACCAAATTTAAAGGCATTTTTTAATCATTTTGATGCAAAATTCTGAATAGGCTTATGGGAACGGAACTCTTCACAATTATTTGGTGCCCGTGTGTTGATGGGGCTTCGGGCTTAGGCTTTGTCTGTGTGTGGAGAATCCAGCACAGCTGTGGACATAGATGGAATTTTATTTTGCTTTCCCAAACAACCAGCTTATTCTATACTGGGCCAATGACCACAGTTCCACCTTTTTCAAGGTTTCCGAAACAAGATGTTTGTGGTGATTTTGTTTTGTTTTTGTTTGTTTTGCAACTCTCAGAAGCTCCTGACCAGTTAGGTTGTAAAGAATAACAAGACGATTTGGGTACTATAACACGGACAGGCTCAGGTGAGATTCCTTGGCGTTACCCCTGAAGAGTCAGGCTCTTGATCTGGAAGGAGCTAAATGATAATATCCCCTTTTCTGATGCAGCTGCCACAGAAAATAGAGGAAACAGCTCAGCGAGAAGAAACTAGAGTCCACTCTGCTCTGACTTCAACAGCTCACCTAGTGTTCTATGCCACCAGGGCAGCCAGAGGCTAGCAGGTTTCTGCAGGACTGAAACACATGAACCTCCAAATTCATGTGAGTTATACCAGCAAATACTGCTCCAGTTGGAAACCAAACATCTTTTTGATTACTGGCTATGTTAGTTTCTGTCTGCTGAGATGCAAATGCCAGAACGGGATTAGATGTACAAGAGATTTATGGGTGAGGCAGCCAGAGAGTTAGGAAGCACCTTGAGACTACAAGGAAGGTCTGACAACTGTGGAAGGAAAAAGGCAAGGAAGGAGAATTGGGCAAGAGGAGACTTGGACCACAGCCCAGTTCTAGGCAAGATTCGGTGAGACTGTTGGCGAGCACCCTAGTCAGAGTCACCTGGTAGGAGGAGTCCTGTGTCTCACCAGATTGGGCCTGTCTTAGACCACTGCCAAGCTCAGACTGACCGAGAGCAGCCCATGGGGAGTGTGGCTTCCAGTGAATGGAAGGTAGATCCAGAGGACAGCGGCTTTTGCTTCTTCAGCAGATCTGAGTGGTGCATTTTCATGGCCACCATGCTGGTCATTGTCATACTTGCACAAATACTGCTGTCACTGAATTTGCTTTTTTGGTTTTTTTTAATGCAAGGGCTTGCAATGGCCCTTTAATGCAAGGCTGCTATGTGAGAAGTACAAGGTCATGCAACAAATGTATTTTTATATATGTTGCACTTCTCTTGGGAAAAAGTTTGCAGACTAGAAATCACAACTATGTGAGGGTCTTCCAAGGCTGTTTATTGACTTTGGCTTGCGCTCAAAATGTACAAAGTGTCTAAGACATGATCTACAGGAACAGGAAATTGCAGAAAATGTAAGGGATTGGGAAGCTGGAAGCTCAGGCAAAATGTGGTTCCATCCTTGGGGATAAGAATATATACCTCTCGACGTACATACGAGGAGAATGAGTAGGAACTGACATTGGCAGTGCAAGAGAAATCTGTGCTCTGTATTTTACATTATCTTTGCTTTCTTTCCTTTTATCCTCTACGGCATTAAGTAATGTCCTCTAGAATGTTCTAGTCCTCAAAATGTAAGAACTCAGAAAAGTGATCTTTCATTTACTTTGGGGACAGAATTTTAGAAAGGAAGTCAGTGCAATGGTAGCCACAGTAATTTAAGAAGAGAAAACCCATGGGACAGATAAAATCTAGGAGGAACAGAGGCAGATGCACTTGGCCCCAATACCTTGTCTTACCTGGGCAGTCTCCTATGAGGACTAAAACTTTGGAGAGTCTGCATTTTGTTTTAATAAGGGAGTTCAATTCCCTTAGATAGATTATAAAAATGTATGCCTCTTAGTGAACCAAAGGCTCATTATGCAACACCTTCTAAACAGTGTTCCATAATCACTATCACAGACTCAGGAACTCAACAAACCATTAGCCCTTCCAAGCCTCTTTCAAGGGTTTTCTGTGAATCTCCAGCACCCCAGTCACATAGTCCTTAGAAGGCAGCACCTACAGTCTGATGTCAGAGGCCTGGATTATTTCGGGAGCTCCCAGTCACCCCTTAGCCACGTGCAACAGCCCACTTTGCTATGCAATACAGATTTAAGGAAAAGATTCTCTTGGTTAGGTTCTCAGAAGTATTAGTAGGCCAGGAAAATAGTCTCTCTGTCTCTCTCTCTCTCTCTCTCTCTCTCTGTCTCTTGGAAGTCTACCAAGAAATAAGTGCTGAATAAATGAACAAATGGATGGTGCAATCAGGTGAGAATTCAGACTAATTTTAATGCTACTTTCTTCTATCCTATACACCCAAAGAACTAGCCTTATGCCTCTGTCAGTGGACAGTACAGTAGATGTGGCCCAAGACCTCTTCCCAAGCCTGCTGCAGACAACAGGAGATATAACAAGAATACTTAACTGCTTCCTTTCATTTGGAACTGAGCTCTCGTCCTTCTAAGAGATGAAGGATAATTCTCTGTATTTTGCTCAGTGTTTCATAGTTTTCAAAGCAATTTTATAAGTTATCTTCTCTAGGACTCATATTAGATTTATAAAGCAGGAGCTACCATATTATCTCCATTTTCCCAAAGAGAAAACTGAGGCCCAGAGAAGTTGATTAACTTGTCCAAAATCAAGCGTCAGGGAGTGTTTGAGCTGAAATAATGGTGATAAACAACAGCAACAGCAACTACTTATTGAGTGCTTATTTTGTACTAAATACTAAAAGCTTTGCGTAGACTACCTCTAATTATTAAAAGAGCCTTGTAAAGAAGGTATCTATATGTTCATTTTGTAAACAGAGTAAGCAGCAAAATGCCATTCGTATATAGACCCTCAAAGAACATTAGCAGATTGATCAATTGGAATAGATAATCTGTTGGCTGAGTCCAAATCTATTAAATTTTTAGAAAGAGATTTAGACTTTTAAAGAAGTGTAGTTAGGCAGCAAACAAAAAAGGGAGGAGATATTCATCTAATTCAGAAACATCAGTTTTTCCAATGGGCTGAACTATGGTATTCAAGTATAAAATTTCCCTCTTGTATTCTTCTTTGATTAAATCCCTCTCTGTCAAAGCTGGCCTTATCTTTAGGTGGAGTCTGATATGCTGTAACTAGTCTGGAGGATCCTCAAAAGACCTCTACTTAAAAACCCTTCCCCACCAACAATCCTATAACCTATATTCCATAATTGTAGCTACCAGGCTTATAGTTTGAGAATACTCTAATTAAAATAGAAAAGAATATTACAGGTGGCCCTTTGACTCTCCAGCTATTATTTACCTCTTAGAGTGAACAAAGATTTTAAGCACATGCTTTAATGTGAGAGGAAGGCAGGAAAATAAGGTAATCTGAGTCTAGAAGGGAAAAGGAGGAAAAAGCTTCAGAATGAAGGCACAGCTCGTAGAAAACTTAATTCACGCGTTTGACTGAGCCTATCTTATTTACTAGGAGAAAATTAGTGCACAGTCATACTTCAAGTCATTTCACTCATTATTCCCCAACTGTTTCCCCAATTTCTCATCATTTCATCAACACTTCCTCCCCCTGCACACTCACACTCACACATATAAACTTGTTCCCAGGATATGATTCAGACAGTAGAGAAAATATATCTCTGGCATGATTCCTTCCACAATTTAATTAATACAAGCAAAGTAACAGGCGTGATAATCATGATGAAGCAAAACCACTAACAACGGCAGAAAAATAAGAGAAAAAATATACTCACTGGGAAGATGTTTTATTGCTAAAGTGGGTTACTAAGGTCCCCACTATTGCTCATTTTCTTAGAAGGCTTAAATAGTATAGTCAAATCAATTTGGAGTTGGCATCAATACTCTTGGAAATGCTCTTCCATTTCCAAAAACAGAATGGTAGCAAAGAAAGTTAGCCAAGCGCATGAGTATACATGTATTCATGAACTGATGGTGTGGTTCTATGCTTCAGAACATGACCCTGGGATCCCCTTTCCATTCTTCGTCAAAGATCACTTTTCAAAGCACAGCTCAATTTCTTGCTTTCCAGAAGCCTTCCTGGGTCTCTCAAACCTAGCAGAATCCCTTCTTTCTCAGAAATCCTAGCGCTCATTTAACTCACAGACTGTAATACAACAGTGGCAGCAAGAGATGGTTTCTATTCATGGAGTACTGGGTGTTGTTGTTTTGTTTTCCAGAGCCCAGTGAACAAGACTGCATAGGCTTAGCTGCATTTGTAAACCTCTCCATCCCATCATTTAGAAAGCTAAGCCAGGCATCCTGAGCAGTTGGCTCTGAAGCCTTTCACCTAGCATGGCTGCATGTGGTCCATTGATTGCATCTATACATGAATAAACATTCAGGAAATGCAGCCTTGTTGATAAAGGGGACCAGGGACCTGGGGCTCTGTGTGCACATCACTGGGGTTCCATTTCATTTGTCTGCCTCTACTCACGAGCAAGAGGGATTTATCCATAAAACAAAACAGGCATTTTAGCAACTCCTGGATGCTCAGTTCATCTCTTGGCACATCTTATTTAGGATATTGAGCCAGCTACCAAACCTAGGAGGGAATCTGAGTGGTCACTCAGATAGAGTGACCAACTGTCCAGTTTACCGGGGACTGAAAAGGTTCACGAAATGAGGGTTTTCAGTTTTAAAACCAAGGCCGTCCAGGGTAGAGTAAGACCCCTATGGATGAAGACTGATTCTTGTTCAATGGACAGAAAGCATACAAGAGGCCAAGGATTCAGTACCGTGTCTGGGTCAGCAGGAGAGGGCGGAGAAACACTTGAATTGTAAACGTGTCTTCCAGAAGAATGAGGCCCTTGCAGGATAGGGTTCCTCCAGCTTGTTCAGAGGAAACCATGTTTATGGAAGACATTATGCATACAATTCCAAATCAGGAAATGGATGATAACATAAAAGGAAGAGGCCCTAAGTCCCCTGATCAGAGAGACCTGAAAGTCAGCCCAAGTGACCCCACAGAGGACCACGCTACAAAAACCCCTGGGCTCCCAATCAGCAGCAGTGCCACCTGCTTCAGCAGAGTATGCCTCCAGGGCAGGCTGAGAAGTCTCTGATGAAGGAAGGTCCCAAGAGAGCAGTTCCTGCCCCAGGGACACAGGGCCATCAATGCACATACACTGAAGATCACATGGCATGGCTGGATTTCTTTCCTAATGAAACTTCATGTTAAGGCATAGGACCATCATTTCTGCCCTACGGGAAAGTGGGATTTCCTGGGAAGAACTGTTTGGGGCTTCATCCTCTTAGAAGCTAGACAGCTCCAAGAGGCAATAGAAGACCCTTTTGGCTATGAGCAACTGCAACACAAGATTTTCATTCCAAAGTGAGAATCCCAAAAGTCCAAGGGCCATGGAATAAGATAACAAAGCTTCCCAGGCCTAATATTTAGCAATTTGTCACCTTGCTCTTCTCAAACAGGGAAAAAACCTGGTCCCAAGGTAATCAGATTTCTAACACTGAGGAGCCTTTCGGGAGGTGGGAGCGACAACTGTTACGAACTCCTTGTAGCTCTTGCTAAGCTGTGGTTCCTGGGAGCACCCAAGCTGAATGTGGGTGGCACAGCTCTAAAACGTTCTTTTCCAATTTGTTCTAAATCCTCCACATGCTGGGAAACTGGACCACTTGCCAGAAGCAGGGCCCGGCCCCTCCAGCTCTGATTTTCAGTAGCCAATAGGACAAAATGGACTGCCAGAAGCTACGCATCTTGATGTCCAGGTGATGCTACCCTGTAAGCAACAAGCTTTTTAAAAAAATTCTGGAGTTTTACACATGCTCTGAAGAAAACAATCTTTTTGGATTTTTGCTTCAAGTCAGTGACATCTTTGATGGAGCTGGGTAATTGGAAAAGGGATTTAAATATGTCTGGAGGTTTCCCACACTGTAGAATTTGCAAACACTGTACGGAATCCGTAAGCAAACAGAATTTACAAAGAACCTCTCCCCTCTGGAATTATTCAAGGATCCAGTTTGAAGAGATTTTAGTTTATTTTGAGGTGATGCCAGAAGGCCTTGAAAAGAAGAACAAAGCAGAGTGGGGTGTGGTGTGGCGGGGAGGGACAGAGGGTGGGAGTCAGGGAGTGTCACTTTCTGGTAGAGAAAAAAAGACTGGTATGATCACCCATCTGTGATGGTGACAGAGCAGTTAAAAGGAAAAGCTCTAGGGATGAGGCTGCCCTAGAGTCATTGTTAACGCGTGCGTGTGTTTGTGTGTGAGTGCACATTGCGTGTTTCTAAAACACATTCTCTTTTAATTCATTAAGCAGAGAGAATATTCTTTGAACAACCTGCTCATTTTCCTGCATAGAAGCTATTGCTGGACACACAGAACCCTGCATACCTGTGCACACACATGTGTAGAGGCACTCAGTTCCATCTGGAGGTGGACCATTCATTCACAACGCCTTACACTCGCAACCATTTAAACTGCTTAGAAATGCCTAGGGACCCTCCACCCACCACTCCCACTATGGACTCCAAGAGACTGCACTTCACAGTCTCTGGAGTGATTTTTTAAATAAACATTTTTCATTTTAAAATAGTTTTAGATTTACAGAAAAAAATTGAGAAGATAGTACAGAGAGCCTCCATATACTCCACACATTCATTTCCCCCTATTTATTTACATATTTATGATTATTTATTTATTTTAAGAGAGGGTCTACCTCTGTCACCCAGGCTAGAGTGCAGTGACACAAGCATGGCTAAATGCAGCCTTGAACTCCTGAGCTCAAGCCTTCTTCTTGCCTTGACCTCTGAAAGTGCTGGGATTACAGGTGCAAGTAATTGCACCAGACCCTCCCTTATTATTATCTTACCTCAGTATGATGCATTTGTTGCAATTAATGAACCAATATTGATAGATTATTATGAACTGAAGTTCATACTTAGTTTTTACTTAAAGTCCTTTTTCTGCACCAGGATCCCATCCAGGATACCCCATTATATTTAGTCCTCTTATCTCCTTAGGTTCCTCTTGGCTGTGACCGTTTCTCAGAGTTTCCTTGTTTTTTGATGACCTTGACAGTTTTGAAAAGTACCGGTCAACCGTTTTGTAGAATATCCTTCAACCAGGATTTTTCTGACATCTGTCTTGTGATTAGGCTGGAATTGTGGATTTAAGAGAGGAAGACCATGGAGGCAAGATGCCATTGTCATCCTACTACAACAAGGATACATGATATCAATGTCTTTTCACTGTTGACATTGGCCTTCATCACCTGACAGGGTAGTGTTTGTCAGGCTTCTCCAATGCACGCCATGCTCTTTGGAAGGAACTTACCGTGTGCAGCCTGCACTTAAAGAGTGGAGAACTATGCTTACCTTTCTTGAGGGGAGAGTATCTACCTAAATTAATTCTGCATGGGACATGTGTCTGTTTTTCTCCAGTTATTTATTTATTCAATCAATAATTTATTTATACTAGTATGCACTCATCAATATTTACTTTATGCTTTAGTTTATATTCCATACTACTTTACTTTGTTGCTCAAAATAAAGTTTTGGCCACTGGGAGCTCTTTTAATTCACTCCTGTGTCTCTTTGACACCCTTCTCCCACCCACCCCAAACCTTGCGATATTATGGCTTAAAAAAAATACTTCCATTACTTTCTAGAGCTACAAGATATTTCAAGTTCATCTTGTCTATTTCCTGTCCCGGTCCTAGAATTATTATTTCCCTGAGGAGCCCTGGTTTCTTTTATTGAAGACTATTAATATTAGAAAACAAGATCTGGGCACTAGGTGTGCTCACTGCTACTGGGGTATACCCACAGCCCTTCTTCTAGACCTCTCAGCTGACAGAGCAAGGGTATATATGTGTGCACACTAACCTTCTTATATGCATATATCTATAACTATTGCTTTATGTAACCATCTGTAACCTATATTAAGCTAATTATGATGTCTCCTCTGAGGGATTTTAAAATGTAGAATATTGCTTAAAAATTAGATCTATTTCTTAGAAAGAACATTCTAAGAGGATTCTAATCTAGACTATTAGAGGAAGAAACTTGAACCACAGATATCTGTATAAATGTGTTTCAGAAGGTCAAGGCCTGATTAAGCTAGTGGCAGAGTATATCCTAAGACCTTGAATAGCCAACAGATGGAATTAAGCAGTTTTAAAAAATAAGGCTTATTGTCATTGTTAAGAATTTGCTTCCACTAAACTTTGTATTTTTTACCCCTTAGAAGTCACAGATGTGAATTCACCACTTTTTTAAATTTTTCAAATATTTTATTTGGCTTTTTATAAAATAGAATATTTTTTAGAGCAGCTTTAGCTTCACAGCAAAATTGAGTGGAAGGTACGAAGATTTTCCATATACCCCCTACCCTCACACATGCACACCCAACTTTGTGGCTTGCTGGGTTAGATAACACCCAGTTCATGATGAGCAGCTCAGGTCTCATGGTAACTTGGTGGCCCATGGCTAAGTGTTCAGTTTCTTTTATGACCCAGTGACAACCCAAGAACTGACTTTCAAAAGGAGAGCAGTTACCTGCAGATGGTGGAAGGGCCTTGCTCCAAAATCTTAAAGGCCTGCCCTGTGATTCTTCTATAGGTGCCTACCAAAGGCCTCAAACAGCATCCTTGTCTGCCACTAGCACCTCAAGCACCATTGGATCTGCTGGATCATATGTCCCAAGTGAAAGAGCAGCTTGCACAGCAGCCTGCACCTGTTGCAGAGCCTTCTCCTGTTCTGGTCCCCATTCAAAACTAGCAGCTGTTAGGGTCACTTGGCAAATGGTTCAGATTAACATGCCCAAATTACGAATGTGTTGCCTCCAAAACCCAAGTAGGCCCACTAAGCATTGTGCCTCTTTCTGGGTTGTAGGAGGGACCAGATGCAACAGCTTATCCTTGATCTTAGAGGGGGTATCTTGACATGCCCCACACAATTAGGCCCCTAAAAATTTCACTAAGGTAGAAGGCCCCGGAATTTTAGTTTGATTTATTTCCCACTCTCTGACATGCAAATGTCTTACCAATAAGTCTAGAGTAGCTGCTACTTCTCCTTCACTAGTCCGATCGGTATAATGTCATCAATGTAATGGACCAGTGTGATATTTTGTGGAAAGAAAAGTGATCGATATCCCTGCAAACTAGATTATGATATAGAGTTGGAGAATTAGTATACCCTGAAGTGGGACAGTGAAGATATACTGCTAGCTGAAGGCACATTGCTTCTGGTGGGCCTTATAGATAGGGATGGAATAAAAGACATTTGTCAGATCAACAGCTGCATACCAGGTACCAGGAGATGTGTTAATTTGTTCAAGTGATGAAACCGTATCTGGTACAGCCATTGCAATTGGAGTAACCATTTGATTAGGCTTACAGTGACCTACTGTCATTCCCCAAGATTCCATCTGTCTTCTACACAGGCCAAATAGGAGAGTTGAACAGGGATGTGGTGGGAATTACCCGCCTCCCGCATCTTTCAAGTCCTTGATAGTAGCACAAATCTCTGCAATTACTTCAGGGATGTGATATTGCTTTTGATTTATCATTTTCCTAGGTAGAGGCAGATCTAATGGCTTGTACTTGGCCTTTTCCACCATCACAGTCCTCATTTCACAGGTTGGGGAAGAAATGTGGGAATTCTGCCAGCTGCCAAGTATGTCTATTCCCATTATGCATTCTGGAACTGGGGAAATAACCATAGGATGGGTTCAGAGACCCACTGGATCCATACCTGAGCTAAAACTCCATTGATCATCTGACCTCCATAAGCCCCTATTCTGACCAGAAAGCTAAGATGATGCTACAGGTCTCTCAGAATCAATGTCAGTTCAGAGCTAGTGTCTAGTAGTCCCCTAAAGGTTTGATTTCCTTTTCTCCAGTGCACATTTACCCTGGAAAAAAAAAAAACCACAGGTCCCTTTGGAGAAGGCTTGGAGAGTGATTAACAGTATAAATTTTTAGTAGCGTATGGAGTCTTTCCTGAAGAGGACCTGACCTCCCTTTCATTCAGGGGGTTCTGGCTCTGCAAACTGGCTCATCTGGGAATTGATTGAGGGGCCATGATTTGAGTCTCAGTTTTTATTATTTGAGTTAAACTTTTGTTCACTTGACCTGCAAGTTTTCTACTTATACAGATCAAGCAAAAATTTAGATAGGCTTCCTGACTGTTTCACTTCTAGGAACACCATGATTAATTTGCAAATGTCGTAGATTTACATAGGTCAGACTATTCTGATTTTTGCTTTGTCTCTGCTGTTTTTTATGGTAACTATGCCCACCTTGCCTTTGGCAGGATTCTGGGATGACAGCTGCATCTTGGCTCCTGCCATCCCAGAATCCTATTATACCCACTGGATTTAAGTTTTCCAGTTGAATATCTGTGGTTCCCACTAGAAGATCTGACCTATTGAGAAGAATAATCATGGAGCTCTTCAGGGATGCTGGGACTCCTCTCACAAACCACTCTCTTAAAATGTTGGTGAAAGGTATATTTTCTTGACTTTCCCAGCATGGGTCAGCAAGTTTTAAGTGACTTTAGCATTTCAGTCTCCCTAAGCCTTTGAATCCCTTCCTCCATGTTAACCCAAGGGCAATCAGGCATCTCCAGCTTCTTCACGGTGGGCTATCTTTTGATCCATATTTTAGCCAATCAACCAACCAACCAAACAATTACAGCCCTTTCTAAGTCCCTGAGCTGCAACAGTAAATGCAGAATCTCAGCTTAGTGGGCCCAAATCAATAAAGTCAACCTGATCCCATTTTTTTATTCCTTCCACTATTACCCCTCACCCTTAATACCCATTCCCATGCATATTCCCTGGATTTCTGCTGATATAAATTAGAAAATGCAAGTAGTTCTTTTGGAGGGTAGTGTACTCATGGGTCACACTTTGTACTTTGCCTTTAGAGGCCTGCTGGGACTTGAGTCTAGTTATAGGTCTAGAAGCAAAGAAGGGTGGTGGAGGTGGGTCTTTGGGAGAATCAGCAGTGTCATGGTTGGCCACTGTTTCAGAGGGGGCCATTACCATTTCCTCAGGCAATGCAGGGTTAATCCTCTCAGACAGAGGTGGAAAGGCACATACCATTTTGGGAAAATGCTATGGAAGAAATGCTTAAAATAATTAGAAATCATGGAAACATAAACTAAGTCCATACATATAAGAGTGCATAAAATAAAAAAGCTGTGTAATGCTAAGCTCTGGTAAAAGATTGTAGAGATAGAAAACTTTCATGAATTGCTGGTAGGAGTATAGTCTGGTGTAGCCACTTCAGAGACCTATCTGGTTGTACTTAGACAAACTAAGAACACACAAACTCTAATATATTAGAATTCAGCAGTTCCATTTGTGGGCTTATATGCCCAAATTATTTTACACAGAATCATAAGAAGACATGAGCAAAGATTCTACTACAGTTTTACTTATGACATTGAGGAGCTAGATGTAACCTGGTGTTTACTCTGGGAGATAAGCCAGGTAAAATAATGCAGATGCACATTTGTGGAGTATAATGGAGCAGTTGGAAGAAACATGAATTTCTGGAAAACATTATGGTTGGTGAAAAAAGTAAAAAGTGAAATTTTAGAAGAATAGGCACCATTTACATGCATTTCAAAATACATTCATACAAGTGACATAACACAAAATGGTGGAATGAGAAGGTCTTGAAGTTGCTCCCTTCAACAAAACAAGAAATGAACTGGAAAAAGCACTTTTGAATCAGCTACATCAGAATTCTAGAACCTGATTGGACACTTAAAACAACTAGAGGAGTGCTGGATAAAGTCAGAGGCTGCTATTCCAAGGTAAGAGAGTGGCACACATAAACCAGCCACCATCCTGCATTATTCAGCCCCATCATGGCTGTGAAGATAGATGCTTCTGTTTTTGGAGCAGCTGGCTGGTGTCAGCATGAGCAGTGAGGACCTTCTCCTCCAAAAACTTGGGGTTGTGTGCATTGATGGGTCTGGGTGCCCTCAGGGACTGGCAGAGACACCTGCCTTGGTTCCAGCTCTCTCAGCAGCAGCAGCAGATCTCCCCAGTGACATGTATCAGAAGATTTA